>NW_003871093.1:0-88070 GCF_000001405.40 Homo sapiens
CAAGAAACTCACTCTCTGGTGGGCAGCAAGACAATTATGACATTCCTTTGTGCCAAGTACTTGGAGATAAGCATAGAGCACCATGAACTCAGCAGAGCATAGTTGGGGAACAAGGAAAGAATTATTGGAGAATGTGATACTGGCATCGAGTCTTTCAGTATGAGTAGGAATTAACCAGTTACAAACAGGAAAGGAAAAACTTTCTAGGCAAAGGAGACTTGTACAAGTGAATGGGGCTTGAGGGCAAATTGTTCATTAGGTGAGGCATGGGAGAGTTGTTCTTTGAGGAATGAGCCATGAGGTCAGGTCGTAGACAGTGATCTGTCTATGTGGGGTCTTGCATGCTAGACAGAGGTATTTCGGTTTGATGCAGGGCTGACATGAAAGCATCAAGGGGCTGCATGCAAGGAGGTGACAGGAAGAGCACTGGTTTTGGAACATCCCTCTGGCCTTGGTTGGTGTGGAGAACTCAATGGAAGAACATGGTTCTGGATATAGAGAGACTGGGGAGGAAAGGAAGCCAATTGTTTTTGGGTCCACAGGAAGAAAAACAAGTGGGGATCAGGGATCATACTTACAACAAAGAAGGTTGGGTAACTTGGATTTCTTGTGTGAGAATTTTGTTTATGTTCTCCTACTTCCTCCAAGACACTCATAGGATAAATTCTGTATCTTACAAAATCCAAGGACAGAGTCTCTTCAAAGCAGTCACTCCCTACACTTAGTGCACAGAATGGAGGCCTATTCCTTGTCCTCAAGGGGCAGCTTGAGTCATCATGAGCACAGTGTGAGGGTCGACCAGGGCTTCTCAACTTCAGCATTATTGACATTTTGGGCTGGGCGATTCTTTGTTGTAAAGGCTGTCCTGTGAATTATAGGATGTTAAGCAGCATCCCTGGCCTCTATGAACCAGATTCTAGTAGCATCCTTTGAGGGTGATGATCACAAATGTCTCCAGACATTGCCAAACATTGCCTGGGAGTGCAAAAATCACCCCTGTTTGAGAACCACTGGGTCAGACTATGGCAGAGGGAGAAAGTCAAAAGCAAAACTTAATCACATTGGTGTTGGAGTTACTGTCTCATCAAGCCATTGGGATTTATCATTGTCTCCTTCCAGAGTCAAGAGGGGAGTTGGCCAGCCGGATGCTGTGGCTAAAGCCTATAATCCCAGCACTTCGGGAGGCCGAGGTGGGTGAATCACCTGAGGTCAGGAGTTCGAGACCAGCCTGGCCAACGTGGTGAAACCGCATCTCTACTAAAAATACAAAAATTAGCTGGTCATGGTGGCGCACGCCTGTAGTCCCAGCTACTAGGAGGCTGAGGCAGGAGAATTGCTTGAATCTGGAAGGAGGTTGCAGTGAGCCAAGATCACTTCACTGCACTCCAGCCTGGGCGACAGAGAGAGATTCTGTCTAAACACACACACACACACACACACACACACACACACAGGAGTTGGCTAGGGTTTTGAACCTCTGTGCCAAGCACTGGACTAAGCATTTCATATGGATTACAGCAATTCTTTGAAGTAATATGTATTCTCTCCTATTTTTTCACCTATACATAAGATGCAGAATTCGAAGGACAAACAATCCAAGTGCCCATCAATGGACAATTAAATTGTGGTATATTCACCCAATGGGATATTATACTGTGAAGATGACTGGAAAATGGCGACATGCAATAGCATGGATGAATCTTACTAACATAGTGTTGATTGATATAAACAAGCTCCAGAAAACCATACGTGTGTGTATATATTTATGTATATTAATATAATGTGTGTATATATATACACACACTCAAACATATATGTGTGTATTGTTCAAAAACCACAGACACACATATGTATGAGTATACATGCATTTATACACATATGTACACACACAAACACATATATATAAAGGGAGTGATAAAATTCACGATTGTCATGGCTAATAAGTAACATGCAAATGACTAAAACCCAGTTCTTTCCAAAGCCTAGGTTCTGTATGGATCATGATATGTCTCAATGTGGTCACAGGTGTCTTTGTTGATACACTAGGTGTTTTTAGTGCCTTGAACTACAGCAAGACAGATGTTCTTGCTATTAAGAGTTTCCTTTAGGAGAAAAGAAAACAAGAGCAGAATCACTTAGAGAAAAATGGATGTAGAATGGATTGCTTTAAAACTATAAAAGTGGTATAGGATATTGGACTGAAGTTGATGTGATTTTTCAAACATGCTCATGTTCCCAGTTTGATTGACATATTTGGTAAGACTGAAAGTATTAAATACATCCTCTGGGAAGATGAAGAGCTTTGGGGGTAAATATTCAGCAATAAAACACAGTGCATGGATTCCTGCAGATTGAAAGATGCCAACATGAATACAGACAAGAAGGAGGGCAAAAGAAGTGATCCATGGTGTGACATAGAAACCAACTGTGGGGAAAAAGGCATTTCAATGGCAGGGGAGAAGGTTTTCCAGACATTGTTCTGATCAAAAATGTTTCTCTTCTTTTTAAAATGGAGGTGAAGAGGGTGCCAAGGAGAAGGCATTTTGTAGCTGGGGGTTTGCAAAGTACCCTTCAGCGTTTTCAGTATTTTCAATAATTTGTGAAGCAACCAAAGCAAACAAACACCCACAAAAAACTAACCTGAGACATGACAACGCAGTTGATGAAATCGCCATACTTTGAAGACTTAGGTAATTAGCTAACATATTCAACAGAATGAGTTAGTGGCAGAGCCAGAAATCAAGGCCAGCCCCATCTGGCTCCCCACACCGTGATCTTTCCACTCCGTCATGTGCCTCCAGCGTGAACCGGCCAGAACGTTGGCTGGTGTAGAACACCGGACCTGGTTGGTGATGCGGAGCCAGGACAAGCCCGGAGGAAAAGCAGAAGGGCCAAGAAAGTCCCTCACGAATTCCTCTTGGAAGGGATTGGTTTAACATTAACACCACTTTACAGTGATTTTTTTTATTATCACTGCTGGCGTGTTTTTATTTGTATAGAATTCATATGCTATTGATGCCCTAGGGTGGGTTTGATACTTCCTGATGAAATATTTGGTAGTTTAAAAAATTTCCAAAATTAAAAGACTGTGTTTGAGTGTATTGATAAGTAGAGGTAAGTACTCACACCAGTGTGGTCTAGCTGCTGATTACAGTCACTGGAGTGGGCGGAGGATCCCCAGGATGGGGCCTGGGCAACCTGCTCACGAGCCAGTCTGTTGCCATAGGGGTGTCAGCCTGCAGCCACTATATCAGTGTCGCCTTCTCCCTGCCTCCCCAAAGTCAGGGGGTCTAATAGGTGGTTAAGATCAGGGGTTTGGTGGTCAGACAAAGCTAGGTTTGAATTTTGTTTCTACCCCTTTTCATTTGCATAATTTTGGGAACATGATTTAAACTCTATGAGTTTTGCCACTTCTGTTTTCTTCTTTTCTGTTCTAAAAAAATCTTGAGAGGAACCAATTTGGGGGAGATTTTAAGCTTCCTAAAAGGGCCAATGAAGTTTTATATTTTAATCTTAACTTTGTTTTAAACCTGGTTTCTTCTTTATTTATTACTTTTTTTTAGTTTTGCCACTTCTAACATAGTGATGACAATTATACTTACTGAAGTCATTGTGAGGATCCAGTGAAAAATGCAGCCAAGGACTTGATCTAGTAACTATGCAATAAATGAAAGCCATTTCTATTGTTATTATTAGTAATAGTACTAGTAAACAAGTTTCAGGAATGATAAATGGGAAGGTTTTAAAAAGAGGTAGAGGCACTTAAGTGTCCCTGGGTTCCTTGGACTAATTTTCCATTTCCCGTCTTGACATCCTCTCCCCAAACTGGGTCAAGGCTTCATTTCTGATTGAATGGTGCAAAGCTGCATTCCTGGAGGAACAGCAGGGCCACTCTGGCTTGGCAGAGGCCTCCTGATGAAAGGTTAGTGCCAGGAAAGGCCTGCTTCAGTGAGGCTGGAGAGCAACCTGTAAAAGAGACAGCTCATCCAAGAGCAGGAGCAGTGTCAACGAATCCAAATGCAGCGCAGAAAACTCCCGACT
This sequence comes from Homo sapiens, assembly GCF_000001405.40. Lineage (NCBI taxonomy): Eukaryota > Metazoa > Chordata > Mammalia > Primates > Hominidae > Homo > Homo sapiens. Next base: position 4,042 of record NW_003871093.1, read on the forward strand.
CAACAGACACCTTTTCAAAGTTGAAACATCTCCCAGGCTCCTGAAGCCTGCTAATCAGATGTTTGCATGCAAATGAGTAAAAACAATAACAAGGAAAGATGCTGCATGGCGTGCCAACACCCCTAGTGAAGGACTATAAAAGCCCCTCTGTATCGGATGTCTTTCCAATGCAGGTATACTGAGCTTGCAACTTCCCAGCAAGGTCAGCACCAGCACCATGGCAGACGGCTGTTGTCCTGGAAACACCACAGCCATTCCAGCTGTGCCCACCATCACCACATACCCAGTTAAAGGTGGATTTCGACATGCTCTCTGTTTGCCTAGTTCCTGCCACAGCAGAATGTGGCAACTGGTCACATGCCAAGAAAGCTGTCAGCCATCCATTGGTGCCCCAAGTGGCTGTGATCCTGCTTCGTGTCAACCTACCCGCCTTCCAGCAACGTCTTGTGTGGGTTTTGTTTGCCAACCTATGTGCTCCCACGCAGCCTGCTATCAGTCTGGCACTGGTCAGTCTCCTTGTCTGGTTAGCTCATGTCAGCCATCCTGCTCGGAATCTACTTGTTGTCAGGAAAAGTGCTGCGATGCCAGTCCCTGCCAGCAAAGCTCCTGCCAGGAATCTGTCTGCATGTCTGGATCATGTCAGGCAGCTTGTGGCCAATCAGTCTGCTGTGATGCTGGATCCTGCCAGCCATCCTGCTCTGAAGTGACCTCCTGTCCGGAAACTTCTTGCCTACCAACCATCTGTACAGCTAGTCCATGCCAACCAACTTGGTGCCAAGGAAGTTCATGTCAACCCGTCAGTGGTGAAGGCCAGCCCTGTAAATCAACTTATTATCAACCCATCTGCTATATTTTCAAGCCTTGCCAATCAGCCCTCTACATGCCTGTTCCCTGCCAGCCATCGACTTGTGTGTTCAGTTCTTGCAATACTACTTGCTGTGTGCCTTCCCATTGCCAGCCACCTCACTGCCAACTGGTTCCTTCCACATGCTTCATCTACCAGCCAGTGGCTAACTGCCAGGCCCCTTGTTCCACAAAGAACTGTTGCAAACCAGCTTCTTGTGACACTGTGATTTCTGGCCAACCAACTTGTGATGGACCCCCTTCCTATAACCAGAGTGGCTGCAAATCAGCTTGCTGTGTGACTGGTTTAGGCACATCACCCAGTAGTGGCTCCAATTGCTTGCCGACTTCATGCCAACCCAGCTGTGAGTCCAGCTTCTGCAAGGCAACACTTTGTTAATGGAGCCCTCTTCACACCTCCTCTGAGGGTCTGCGGCTGTCTATAAATGCATAGCCATCCCTGGGTGCCTGCCTCCCACCGAGTACAAATGCTGCCTGCTTTCTAACTTTACCCTGATTCCACCTTCACATTCTCTCCAGGTGCTGACCAGGGAACTTGTCCAGGCACGAAGAGATCCTTCTTAACCGAGAATAACCTTTCAGCAACCATGGACTACCACACTGCTGCTTGCATTTCCTGATGATGTCAATTCATTTCACTTTAGCAAACCCTCTCTTGTTTCTCTTTCTTGATGCTGCCTGGTCTTTCAGAAGACCTCGTTGCTGCCAGCTGCTAATAAAAATGTGACTGGTTAAGTATAATAAATAAGACTCCTGGAGTGCTTTCATTCCTACACACACCTCTATGTAGATTTCCTTCAGGTCACATTTGAACACAATGAGCCTGAGTCATCTAAGTCAGTGGGTCTGCATTGGTCTGCAAGGGTAGCTAGTGTCTAGGATTATAGATTCTCCAGCTGGACGAGAGTAAGGGCAAACAGTTCACTGGCTTCCAAAATTTTCACCACCAAGAGTTCTTTTGAGCTGAGTGGGCTCATTTTCCCTATAGTGAGTAGACAGGAAGCCAACAACAAAAATGGTTCTGGAAAGCCACAGATGAAAACAAACATGAGGTATTGGCCATAGAGAATAGCTTAGGGTTAATTCATTTAAGATTCTTTTTTTTTTTTTTTTTTTTTTGACACAGAGTTTCACTCTTGTTGCCCAGGCTGGAGTGCAAGAGCGTGATCTCGGCCCACCGCAACCTCTGCCTCCTGGGTTCAAGCGATTCTCCTGCCTGGGACATTGTGTCAGCTGGCTAAGGAGAAATATTCATAGGATCCCTTTGTATTATCATAGAGCAGGCAATGAAGGGTGTACCTGTAGGTGAGCAGCAATAATTTGGTAACTAGCAAACAAATCTTCATAGTTCACATTTTTCTGTCACTGAGGTATACTTTGGATCTGTAGAGAGACTATTAATTGTTTTATCCCCAGTTTTAGAATCACAAGGGTCGTAGTCTTGAAAGAAGGTTCTGGGTCAAAAAAGAGGGGGATGGCCATAAGAACAAAATCTAGCACCTGAACATGGAAGGGTCCAGGTGGAGAATTTCTACCTGCAGTTGAATTGACTAATGTCAGCACTGAATCTCTTCTTGAATTGAATTCAAGAAGCATTGAATGCTTCTTGAATCCCTAGATATAGGTGGGCTTATCATTTCAACAGTTCAAGTAGCTAGATCTGTTCTAGTCTTCTAATGGGTATTTTCCTTTTATTTCTAACTATGTATGGGTATTGCCTTCAGTACCTTTTCTACCCACACACATGCACACACATATAGATGCATACAGGTACACACACACACACTCAGATACAGATGCACACACATACATGCACACACACACTCACACACAGACACACACCACATTTCAACTTAGTTGTATGGCTGCACTTAAGGTTGATTTATTTGCTCCATGATTTACAATTGCCTATAAAACATGCCTAGCCAAACCTGAGTAAAGTGCACTAAAAGACTGATTTTAGCATTTTAGCCTTCCCCATCTAACTGGCCCAGCTGATATCACCCTCTTGTTCCCCCCTGCCCTTTGGATGACTCCTGTCCCAGTTTAAATGGTTGGACTTCTGTCCTTATGTCTTTATGACCAGTGCCCTGACTTTCTCCCAGATCGGGCCTTCTCCCCAACCCGAGGAGGGACCTTAGGATCTGCTCATAAACTTACCTGATGGTCACTGGCTGAGCATCTCTCGTTCCAGTCCTCTCAATCACTGTGATTTGAGGTTCTCAGTAGTTAAATAGGTCTTGCCAATATGTGTGGGACATTCTAAAAAAAACCTTACAGATGAAGGAAAACTAACCAAAAGAGCCCGGGAATAATGAGACATCAAGGTCACTGAAGGACAAGAGTATGGGCATTTGCCTTATGACCTGCTTGGAAATGCAACTCAGAGGAGGACTTCTATGGTGGTGGTGAGGAAAAAGCACTAGACCACGGCTCAAAGGAGAAGGCTTGAGTTGCATCCTGGCCACTTATTTACTGTATGACCTTATGTAACACCAGGGTGCTAATCTATAACACGAAGAAGTTAGTTTATTCTACCTCTGAGGGCTCATTTATTTACATGATCTTGTGAGTTTGTTGATGTGTTCTGTGAGGTTCTAAATATTCTCAAACTGATTAAAACTGAAGCCTCTTGTACTTCTGGAACTGATGGGGAAGAGATTTGGAAGGATATCTTTTTAGTATGCCATAAAATAAGAAATGTGATTGACTAATTTTGAGGTCCAAAAAGAAAATTAGAAACAAAAAGGAGGAGGGGGAGAGAGGGAACTTGATATCACAAAGGAAGTGCCATGGATGGAATGTCTCCCAGAAACGATCTTTGGGTGGACACCCTGTGCAAAACCTCTCTTGAGACATGAATGGAACTTCACGGAAGATGAATCCTTAAGTAAGCCTGTGAAAGAATTCTCAAAAGTATTATTTCTCAGAGATTTCAAAATTAAAATAACAATTACATATTACTTTACAGGTATTAGATTTGCAAAAAATAGAGTGCTATATCAGAGCCCAGCAAACTTATCCTGTAAAGGGACAGATATACATAATTTAGGCTTTGTGGGGCACATGGTCTCTGTTGCAACTACTGAATTTTGCCGTTGTATCATTGCATTATATCATTACATTTATAGACAATATGTAAGCAAATGAGTGTGGCTGGGTTCTAATAAAACTTTGTAAAAACAGGCTGGGGCTCTGTTTGGCTCATGGTGAGACGGGAAGAGTTTCCTTGTTCCCCTCGCAGGGCGTGCAACGGGGGCGTGGCTCGCTTCTTCCGTGCCCCACTGCTCACACTTCTAGGGGAAGCATGCAGATGGGCAGGCTTTGGGGCTCTGACCCCACGGCAGCGTCTAGGGGTGAGTGTTTACAGCTGAAGCCCCAGTGGGTGTGTGTACAGGGTACTCTTTCAGTTTAGCCTCCGTCCATAGATGGGTTGTGTTAGTTAGCTCAATTAGACCCCCTGCCTTATGGCAAGGACAGAGGGCTTTCTGTATCCCAGGGTTTCCTGCCTTGTTGTACTGGAGGAATCGGATCACACATGGGCTTGGAGAATGAGTGCAAGGTTTTATTGAGTGGAAGTAGCTCTCAGCAGACGGGGGAGCCAGAAGGGGGATGGAGTGGGAAGGTGGTTTTCCCCTGGAGTTGGGCTGCTCAGCCAGGCTTCCCTCATCCCGCCCCCGACAAACTCACTATGGTTCCCCCTGTCGATGGCCTGCCGTCCTGCTGGCGTCTGCCGCTGCCTGTCGGTGTGCTCTTCTGACGATTTGCTCCTCTCGGATGTCCAGCTGCCTGTGTCTCTTCCCACTAGGCACAGGATGAGGGCGTGGTGGGCCAGGGTGGTTTTGGGAAATGCAACGTTTGGGCACAAAAACAGAAATGCCTGTTCTTATTCATTCAGAAATGCCTGTTCCCTAGGTCCGTGGGCACAGTAGGGGTGGAGTCCTCACCAGGGACCCACCCTTCTTCTCCCAGCACTTCCCTGCCCCGCTCCTGTATCAATGGGCCATAGTTTTCTGACTCCTGTGCTATATAATGCCAAGTGTTGGTGGGAGTGGGAATTTACAGGAATTTTCCTGCATTGCTAATGGGATTGTTGGCTTGTTTGGCCACTCTAAAGAACAATCTGAAACTATTTATGTAAATTATGTAAGTGATGCTCCATGATCCAGCAATCCAACACCTGAGTGTGTATTTCCAGAAAATTCTCACACAGGTCCTCAGGGAGGTGTACATGTGGATGTTCACTATAGCATCCCTATGGTGGCAAAAACGTCAAAGGAAAGCTGGTGTCCAACACTGTGAAAGTGGGTAGGCAACTCGGTGATCCTCTTCATGGAGTATCATGCAGGAATTAATAACAATAGATTACATATACACACTGTAGCATAGATGGATTTTTAAAAATTCTGCTTAATGACAAACCAGAATGAGATATATTACTGATTGCTATTTACATAAAGTATATGTGTACTGAACAATACTTTATAAGGATATATACAAATCCATTAAATAAATTTAATATGCGTTGAATATACATTAGACAGAATAGCATAGTGGCCTATAGGAAACGAAGGGAGTAAAGGGAGAAGAAGAAGTAAATTAACTGATTTATAAGTACATAAAAAATAAATAAGAGAGGGACCATGCAAAAATCACAGATGATAATAATTCAATTATTTATAACTAAGGTCCCAAAAGAAAATTTTTTTAAAAAGGAAGAAGGAGAGAGAGGGAACTTGACACCACAAAGGAATTACCGTGGATAGAATGTCTTCCAGAAATGACATTTTGATGGACACCCTGTTCAAATTCTCTCTCCCACACCTTCCATGGAGATTTCCATCATGCTAGAGGAAGGATATGGCTCTGGGAAGCAGATGCACCTCATCTCATATTGCATAGACTTTTCAAGAATGCTTCTTACAAGAGGATGCAGACATTGTTTAGGAGTTATATTAACTTTAATAATTTGTTGATTGATACCAGGATTCTCAAGACACCTGAAACTTCAAATTTCATTTTATAATAGTTTTTTTTTTACCCATCTACCTCATAGTTTTTGTTGTCCCAATGACAGATTTCTCAGTTTTATAGGCAAGTGTGTTTACCGGCCATCTGCCAACATGCAAACTTCACATTCTAAACATGTCAAATGTGAAACATGAGTTGAGAAGCTTTGTGTCTTTAACCATGCTTGGCAACAGTTTAAATGACATAGCATGTATTTTCTCCTTTTAAGTTTGCTAGGGCTTGTCCATAAAACATCTGAATCTCCTCTAATAAGCAATGTTCTGCCAAGCCTGAACATGTAACTAAATCTTTCTTTACACTTATTTTCAGGGCAGGGAACAATTTTAAAAATACAAGAAAATTTTGAGAAAAATATTACAAGAACCTGCCTCTCCAAATTGGCATTTTCTTACTTCTGCTTTGGATCTTTAAAAAATTAATTGAAATGAAACATTATGCTTGTAAAGTTGAAGTCCCCTCTTCAGTCTTATTTCCCTTTTTTCATCTCAGATATAACTTCTATCATAATTTTATTGTATATTCTCCCAGTCACTGTTAATTTATATAAAAATATAAACATCTTATATTTATAAAGTATTTAAACAAGACCTAGTATGAAGGATTGCAGATTTAAGAATTTATGTATGTGATGTAAAATTATGCAATTTACTTTTTAAATTTCATTATTGCTTTTAAGAACTATGCATTTTGATACATGGACCTGTTTCATTATATTAGTTACCTATTGTTGCATAACAATTATCTCAAAACTTAGTGGCTGAAACAACAAAGTTTATTATCTCACTGTTTCTGTGGGTTAGAAAACTAGATGTGGCTTAGCTAGATACCTACAGCTTGGGGTCTTTTATGAGATGGTTGGTGAGGTGTTGGCTGGGGCTGCGGTCATCTCATGGCTCAACTAGAGAAGGATTCACTTCCAAGCTCATTTATGTGGACACTGGAAGGCCACTGGTTCACACCAACTGTTAGCCAGAGATATCAGTTCATTGCCTCATGGGCTTCTCCATACTCTGGCTGATTGTCCTCATAGCACAGCATCTGGATTCTCCCAGAGGAAGCGAAGAGAAAGGTGAGACTTGAACAATGAGAACACTTGGACACAGGAAGGGGAACATCACATACCAGGGCCTGGTATGTTGGGGGAGGGATAGCGTTAGGAGATATACCTAATGTAAATGACGAGTTAATGGGTGCAGCACACCAACATGGCACGTGTATACATATGTAACAAACCTGCGCATTGTGCACATGTACCCTAGAACTTAAAGTATAAAAAATAGATATATAATATATAAAATATATATTATAAAATATATATATATAAAGTATAAAATATATATATATATAATATATATATATAAGTCACAGTCCCTTTACAGCCTAACCTAATGATATGGTTTGACTGTGTCCTCACCCAAATCTCATCTTGAAGTGTAACTCCCACAATTCCCATGTGTCATGGGAGGAAACCAGTGGGAGGTGATTGAATTATGAGGGTGGGTCTTTCCTACACTGTTCTCGTGATAGTGAATGAGTCTCACGAGATCTGATGTTTTTAAAAAGGGGAGTTTCCCTGCACTAGCTCTCTTCTCTTGTCTGCCACCATGTGAGACATGCCTCTGTTCAAGCTGGCAATTTGTTTGTATATATAATTTTTAGAAAAAATTTGTGGTTCTCCTGTGAATCTTCTTGGAGTTTACTCTATTAGACAAAAGTTACTACCACAGATCATCTAGAGATAAACACTTGGACCCCTGATGTAATAGCTGAGGACAATGCCCTTAAGTTTCCTAGAAGCCTCTTTGACTTATCCGAGAGTGTCTGTGAGGTTCTCACTTAATATTTTTTTTTTTTTTTTTTTTTTTGGAGACAGAGCCTCACTCTGTCACCCAGGCTGGAGTGCAGTGGCGGCGACCTTGGCTCACTGCAACCTCCGCCTCCCTGTTTCAAGCGATTCTCCTGCCTCAGCCTCCCAAGTAGCTGGGACTACAGGCGCCCACAACCATGCCCGGCTAATTTTTGTATTTTTTAGTAGATAGGGGATTTCACCATATTGGCCAGGCTGGTCTCGATCTCCTGACCTTGTGATCACCCGCCTCGGCCTCTCAAAGTGCTGGGATTACAGGCTTGAGCCATTGCGCCCGGCCTCGCTTAATATCTTTAGAGGGGCTTTTGTATGTAGCTGTTCCCCATTTTTCATTTTTGAAATGAAAATAATTTTCTAATTTTTGACTTTCTCAGATCTTAAAAAATCTTATAGCCACACGTTAGCTTTATCTTTAGGGCATGATTTCTGGTATATCTGAATTTCTCTGGCATTGTCTTCAATTTGATATTTGCTTAGAAGTCATTTTTAAACTTTAGCATTATTTGCCATTGGAGAGGCTGAGAATTTTCAAAACAAACAATACTGTCCAGGATCCTTTTTTTTTTTTTTAATCAGCCCTTCTCTCAATTTATCTTTCTCTTCTCACATTTTATTATAGTCAGCAAGAAGAAATCAAAGAACACCTTCAAGACTTTAGTTGGAAATTTCCTTAGTTAGATCACTCAGTTCACCAGGAACCTTTCTACTTTTGCCTCAAAACTGCGGATGACAGAGTACTTTCTGCCACTGCATAGCAAGAATTTTCCTTTCTCCAGTTTCCAATATGCTCGTGGATTCTGTGGGTCAGGAATTCAGCCAGTGCACAGCAGAGAGAGCTTGTCTACAATCTGAGATGTCTTGGACTTTGGTTGGAAATATCCAAATGGCTATGGGCTAGAATCACCTGGAGGCTTTCTATGTAGGGACAAGTTTCCCCAAATCTAAGAATACAATTTTTTTTCCTCTGGGGTTTTAAATATATCAGTTTTGCAACAATTCCTGTCTTTGGGAAGGAAACATCCTTTCCTTATTACTGTATATGGTATTCCCTTTAGCTCTGAAGGATGGTTTGGCAGAAAGTTGTTAACTAAGTGTAATAAATCTTATGGAAAGAAATACTCTGGTTAGTTTCTCATCTGGTTCCATTTTTGTGATAATGAGGATCAGGAAATTATTCTGGTAATGAGTGACTGGGATGGAGGAAGGGGAAAACTCATGGCTGGTGAAGAGGTCAACGAACTGAGAGATCAAGATGTTTGATGAATTATCCTTATGGAAGTTGAATTCACTAAAAAAAAGAGACAGGCCTAGAGGAGAAAAGAAAGACAGTGACCCACAAATAAATGGGTGGAATTGCCTGGAAACTGATGAAAACAGCCAATGGGAAGGATAATGGCAGTTAAATCGGGTGGTGTAAACTTTGAAAACAACTAAAGTCAAGAATGGCTTTGGTAATGGCAAAACCACTCTGAGATGTAGGTTTCCTACTCTGACGGGTACCTTGGTTAAAATTCAGGACAATGGTCAGAACTTGTATGATCATTGCTTTCATAAGTCTTTTTTTTTTTTTGAGACAGAGTCTCACTCTGTCGCCCAGGCTGAAGTGCAATGGTGCAATCCTGGCTCGCTGCAGCCTCCGCCTCCTGGGTTCAAGCAATTCTGCAGCCGCAGCCTCAGCCTCCCAAGTAGCTGGGATTACAAGTGCATGCCACCACAACTGGCTAATTTTTGTATTTTTACTAGAGATGGGGTTTCACCATGTTAGCCAAGGCTGGTCTCAAACTCCTGACCTCAAGTGGTCTGCCTGCCTCAGCCTCCCAAAGTGCTGGGTTACAGGCATGAGACATGCCTTCATAAATCCTTAATGACTTAAGGAATCTTGCATATCAGTTGATCAAATTACCCATTTATTTACGCAAGCATTCTGTGACATCCCTATTAGTTTTTTTGTCTGTGTTTTCCTGTCTCCAGAGAATAGGGCACACGACTTCCCAAGAAAACATGTGTCTCTCTAGTCAGCTCCAGGAATGACTTTTCACTTATTTTTGCTTAAATCGGTCGTCTTGTTTCTTGACCCTATAAGGCCACACAGGACACATCTAATCCATCTTCTACATTAAGTCTTTCCCTTCCCCCAAAGATCTTCTTTTCTCTGGGATAATTATCACTGGATACCATCATTTTTCATTATGTGACTTGAATTCCAGTCCTATTCTCAGGATAGTTGCTCTACTTGCAAGACTTTCCAATTATTCAATATTCCTTTAAAAGGGGCATGATCAGAGCCTAACTCACGATCAAATTATCTGTTAGCCAGTACAGGATAGGGAATAGCCATCCTCTTCTTTTGAGTATAGTCCATATTTTCCAGGTCATGTCTGCCTGATGATATAATTAAATACTATTCTTTTGTTTGTTTGTTTGTTTTTGAGACAGAGTCTCGCTCTGTCACCCATGCTGGAGTGCAGTGGCGCGATCACCACTCACTGCAAATTCCGCCTCCGGGGTTCACGCCATTCTCTTGCCTCAGCCTCCTGAGTAGCTGGGACTACAGGTGCCCACCACCACGGCCGGCTAATTTTTTGTATTTTTAGTAGAGACGGGGTTTCTCCGTGTTAGCCAGGATGGTCTTGATCTCCTGAACTCATGATCTGCCTGCCTCAGCCTCCAAAGTGCTGGGATTACAGAGATCTCCGCCCTGAAGAGGAAATGTGCTGGTATTTGAATGTCTAAGTCCCTATTTAGTGAGGTGGCATTTGTCCTCCTGTAGGGGCAACCTCTACCACTGCTCAAAGGTTTTCTGGTCCCTGTATTGATATCCTTTGTTCCTGCTTTTTTTTTTGACCGAATTTTGCTCTTGTCACCCAGCCTGGAGTGCAATGGTGCAATCTCGGCTAATTGCAACCTCCCCCTCCCAGGTTCAAGCGATTCTCCTGCCTCAGCCTCCTGAGTAGCTGGGACTACAGGCATCCACCACCATGCCCAGCTAATTTTTGTATTTGCAGTAGAGACAGGGTTTCACCATGTTGGCCAGGCTGGTCTCGAACTTCTGACCTCAGGTGATCCTGCCCGCCTCAGCCTTCCAAAGTGCTGGGATTACAGGCATGAACCCCTGCGCCCAGTATGTTCCTGCTTTTGAATGCCTGTTTCTAAGTTCAGATTTCTACTCCAGCCATAATGATGTCCTGACCGCCACTGCCTGGAAGAGGGAATTCTTCAGGTTCAGGTTTAATATTAGCTTCAGAAGTATGGCTTGTTAGTTTGAGTCCAAGTTAACAATACTGTCTCCTCCTAGCAATCTCTAGATGCTCTGAGCATCTGCAGAAAAGACTGTCCAGTGAGTCTGCCCCAAACTGTCTGCCTATCTGCCCCTCTAGCCCATCTCTTATCCAGGGCCTCAGTTTGAATTTAGGATCAAGTTCTTATTATTATTGGATAAAGTAAGACAGTGACATTAGAATAAAACATGTCTTGGCAAATTGTCACTGAATTGAATCCACCTTTCTGCAATGTTTTCATAAGCTACGATGAGAGTCCTTTTGAAATGCTCTGCTGAAATCCAGATTCATTTTGTACTGAATTTCGTTTATCAATGAATCTAGCAAAAATAAAAAGTTATTTTACATGGGTTGGTCTAAGTGGTACCATGTTTTATTTTTTGGCATTCACAAAAGATCATCTGAACAATTTATTCTAAAGTCTTTTTCTAAGATAAGATCAAGCTGATTGGTGTATGGTTTGCAGAAACTTGAAAAATTGGGATGGTCTTTGCTTGTCTCAACACGTTGAGTAGCTCTTGTTCTCTAACATTCCTCAAATATCAATATGTGGTTTATTTTCAGTCTCTAACTGCTCTGGGACCTAATGTGCACAGCATGCAGTGACATGAATTTATTTAGAGAATCTAAGCATTTGCAAAATTGATTTGTCCTTATCAATGTTTAGTCATTTTTCCAATTCAATTATTTCCTATTGTCTGAAAAGATAGACACCAAATAAGAGTGTTTCTAGCATAACCTTCACAGTCTTTGTGCCATACGCCACCGGGAGATCTCAGATCTTCTCTCAATCCCTGCTCTCAGCCTGAAATAAGGAGGCCAGGTTCCTTTTATAAGCCCAGATTTTCCTTGCCAGATACTGACATATTTACAGTTCATGGATCATGAATTGGATGAAGGGTGGATACAAATGCATCATACAAAAAATGCAACATCACACTGAGGAGCTTACTTCATATTAAACTTCTTTTAGTGCTTATAGCTCTCTTTATTCAGATCAAAAGGAATTAAAATCTGTCGCTCTTGTTGCAAGTTTTCTCATTTCAGTTCAGAAGGAAACATTTCAATTTTTCTTTTGTTATAAAAGTAACCTGTGCTTGAGGGGGAAAACAATGTAGGAAAAAAAATGGGAAGTCCTAGTTTCCAAACACCCCATCCACATCCCCCTCCCCAGGGACAAACTACTGGTTACTGCTTATTATGCCCTAATCTTGGTTTTCTCTTTCTCTTTACAGATGGTTGGTTACTATTCTCATTAGAAAGACTGAAGAAAAGGCTGGGCACAGTGGCTCATGCTTGTAATTCCAGCATTTTGGGAGGCTGAGGCGGGTGGATCATCTAAGGTCAGGAGTTCAAGACCAGCCTGGCCCATGTGGTGAAACCCTGTCTCTACTAAAGATGAAAGAAAGAAAGAAGGAAAGAAAGGAAGAAAGAAAGAAAGAAAGAAAAGAAAGAAAAGAAAGAAAGAAAGAAACCGGGCATGGTGGGCACCTGTAATCCCAGCTACTTGGGAGGCTGAGGCAGGAGAATTGCTTGAACCCAGGAGGTGGAGGTTGCGGTGAGCCGAGATCGCACCATTGCACTCCAGCCTGGGCAACAGGAGCGAAACTCTGTCTATTAAAAAAAAAAAAAAGACTAAAGAGAAATAAGAGGAGCGTTGATTTCTATATCGCAAGCACAGTACAAGATTATCAGTACAAAGCAATAGGCCTTTTCCTGTTTAATGGCATACTCACTTTGTTTACAACCATTTCATTAAAAAACACATTTTCACCATGTTTTCTGCTGTTTTGTTTTTGTTTTTGTTTTTGTTTTTTTCCAACCAAAAAGCATCTGGAGCTTCTTTCATTCTTCTCATGGACTCCTACCATCCCTGTTTAATGACTTGTTCACGAATCTTTCTTCCTAAGGCTAAACCTTTGAAGTTGTAGCTATGCAGTTATTTTTGATCTACAAAAATGGAAACTTCATATGGCTCAAACTCGTATTCTCTACTTGGCCTTTATTTTTTATTTTTTTAAGTAGAGATGGGGTTTCACCACGTTGGCCAGGCTGGTTTTGAACTCCTGACCTCAAGTGATCTGCCTGCCTTGCCCTCCCAAAGTGCTGGGATTACAGGCACAAGCCACCACGCCTGACCTACTTGGACTTTTTCAATCAAATCCCAGCCCATAGCTCCTTATAACTCCCTCTGGCATCTTTATAGTATACTGAAAAGTATTTTAAAAGGCCTTAGGATACTAATCACACACAGTAAAGTATTTTAAAAAGAATTAAGTCAACATAAGCCATCTTTTCTCCCAGTGTCTATTAGAATGAAATTTCCCCTGTCATTTTTCTGATTGTTTCCCTATCTATTTAATAACTAGGGTACACGTCAGACTTGTCCTGAGAAGTTCCATTCCTGAGGAAAAGCTATGCATGATTGTCTTATTTTGGAAATCTCAAATGTGGGATTCGTGTAATGGGCTTTGATAAAGGATGTTAAGGGGCAAAGTTAAGGCAGCCTTGTAAAGGTCAACTTGGAAACTAAATATCAGTAGGGAGTTATCTCAGTGGCTATAAGTTAAGACAACAGAATAAAAACTGATATTTGAGACATAAAAATGGCCCAAAAGATGGGTGTAATGAGCCCATGAGTCCCCAGTATAACATGAAACTTGCCCATCTGCGTGGTGTACGGCATTTGGTGTTACTCATGTTGGTCTCATCAGTTTGCCCACCTAAATAAATTCATCTTACAACAATAGTTCTATAACATCTAGAAGTAAGTTCCCTCCTGTAGCCCACTTCATCAGAAACTTCTTGGCAACACCTGAACCTAGCTGGAACTGGAAAAATATTTGATGGTAGTGATTTCCTGATAAATAGTCTAGAGCTGTTGCAAACAAAATCCAAGGATTGCTCTTTTTAGACACAGTCTTGCTCTGTCGCACAGTCTAGAGTGCAGTGGCTTGATGTTGGCTCACTGCAACCTCCGCCTCCTGGGTTCAAGCGATTCTCCTGCCTCAGCCTGCCGAGTAGCTGAGATTGCAGGTGCGTGTCACCACACCCCACTAATTTTTTGCATTTTTAATAGAGACGGGGTTTCACCACATTTGTCAGGCTGGTTTTGAACTCCTGACCTCAAGTGATCCACCCACCTTGGCCTCCCAAAGTGCTAGGATTACAGGTGTGAGCCACTGTGCCTGGTTAAAGGGTTGCTGTTTAAATGAACTATTTGCTTATGCTCTAAGTCAGCATGGATGGGATCCATAGATCTTTCCCGAAGTCTTAAAAATTAGTCTCTTGACTTAGTGGCATGGGAATAGATGTGAAAGAACTTTGTTTTTTTAAAAATATTAATTAATTAATTAATTTTTGAGACAAAGTCTTGCTCTTTCACCCAGGCTGGAGTGCAGTGGCGCGATCTCAGCTCACTGCAAACTCTGCCTCCCAGGTTCAAGTGATTTTCGTGCCTAAGCCTCCCGAGTAGCTGGGAATACAGGTGCACACTGCCAAGCCTGGTTAATTTTGTATTTTTAGTAGAGACGGGTTTTGCCATGTTGGCCAGGCTGGTCTCGAACTCCTGACCTCAAATGATCCTCCTGCCTTGGCCTTTCAAAGTGCTGGGATTACAGGTGTGAGCCACTGTGCCAGGCCAAAATGGGAAAAAGCTTTGTAAAATATAAAATATCCTTTAAATTTAAGAGCTTATGAAGGATATACTGCACACATAATCTAGGTCACGAAAGGATATGCAAGATGAGTATAGATTACTAGGTGATAAATTGGGAAATGCCTTAGTTGCAAAGAAGATAATTCAAATTATAAATACAATGAAGAAATGTGCAGGAAAGATATTTTAGAGGTGGCAAAATTAACCAGTTATTAAGACAATCAGCAGAGGTGGTGGACAGGGATGGTGAATCTCATGCATGTCCAATTTCTAGTGATACTCATTAGTTAAATCCAAACCCTCACTAGTGGCCATGAAGTCCAATGTTTCTTTAAAAAGGCAGTAAGGACCAATGAAGATTTTTTTCCTTGTCCATAGTTTAGTCAAGCTTCTGAACCTTCTCATAGGCCCATGGGTGCACTTCCTTGTAAAATCCAGTTTTGTAAAATTTTAGCAAAGAGCCCTGCTAAATAGGTTTAGCAAGAACTCCCCATCCTCGATATCTGATCACCCTTAATAGCGGATCAGATCTCTTATCTGCCACCATTCTCCAAGTGATGTTTGATCACCCTCGCCTGTCTTCAGCAAGAGCACTTTTAGGTCAGTTTAGCCAAAATTTCCCTACTGGTGATGCTTCCTCTTAGTAATTTTCCATCCACTGACCGCCACCCTGCTCCTTGGCTGTAAATTCTCACTTGCCCATGCTATGTTAGGAGATGAGTCCAATCTCTGTCTCCCAATGCAAGACCCTGTTATGGTGGTTCCTTTGTTTACTGCAGTGTTCCTGAATAAAGTCTCCCTTACCAGGCTTTCACAAGTGCCATTGAATAATTTTTTTTTTAACAAGACTATGATGAATTTTTAAAAGCCAAATCCCTATTGTTTCCCTGATAACATATTATTTCACCAGAAAAATAAATATAAGAAATTCATTTTAAATGTATCTCAAACCATCAGAAAAGGGCTTAACCTTATTGAACTGAGCTACTAGGAAAGAGGAGGAAAGAAGAAGAGTGGAAACCATCGGTCATTCAGTGCAAGCATGTCCGGCTGTCACCAATAAGCTAGCTGTACCTGTCTTAGGACAGAGCTGTATGAAGGAAGTTAATATTTACCAGTTAAAAGAAAAACGAAAGAGGAAAACAGTGATTCAGCACTAAACAGAATTAAGAGTCAGTCATTTGAAATATAGAAAGCCCTAGAAATACCATTACAAACAACAATAATAACAATAAGCCCCCTATTGTATAATAACAAATTGTGCAATAGGTAAAAGATAGATTGTTTAAAGTCTTCTTGGATGTTGTAAGTTATTTTCAGGGCCAAAAAGGAAAAAACTGCTCTTGCAATTCAAGTTCGGGTATATATTTTGCAAATGCTGGCATGCTCAATGCTTCCTGAAGGAGAGGGAGCTATCCTTATTTTGATCAGTTCAGATTGAATGAAAATTTTCTCTGATGCTAATATAGATCCAGTCTCCCAAATTTTAGGTTCCCCACGATTCTTCAAACATCACCAATAAGAGTTCAATGTTCTTGGCTGGGTGTGGTGGCTCACACCTGTAATCCCAGCACTTTGGGAGGCCAGTGTGGGCCTCCCAAAGATCATGAGGTCAAGAGATCGAGACCATCCTGGCCAACATGGTGAAACATGGGCATGGTGGCGGGCACCTGTAATCCCAGCTACTCAGGAGGCTGAAGCAGGAGAATTGCTTGAACCTTGGAGGTGGAGGTTGCAGTGAGCCGAGATCGCACCACTGCACTCCAGCCTGGTGACAGAGCGAGACTTATCTCAAAAAAAAAAAAAAAAAAAAAAAAAAAAAAGAGCTCAGTGTTCAATGTTCTCACTTGGAAGATGTCTCAGTATCTGAGAAGTAGTTTGTCCACGGTCAGGAAACTAGAACTCATTTAAAGAAACTAAATTCTCTCCTATGCTGTTTACATCCATTTGGGGCCACTATTCCCCTTTCCAGCTGTCCTTCTACACAATTCTGTTCAAATATTATTCTTTGAATATATAAGTAATATTAAGAAGTCCTCCTTTCTTATGTCTTAATCATAATTTTACCAGTAGATCTTAAATGAAATCCCTTATATTCTTATCATCACCTATTTGTGTAGGTACAGTTCTTTCATAGTGGACTTAATGTTGGTCTTAGTGAGTGGTTTGTTTTATATATTAAGTATACTTATGCTTTGCTATATTTATTACTATTGGGCACTTAAAGGGGAATGCTTGGAAAAAACTGGGTTGATTTTGCTAGGAATCAACCTTAAAGGGCAGAAGATTATTGAAATTTGACCCTTTCCATCTTAATCTTTGTTCCAAGCAGGAATCTGACTGGGGCTGAAGAGCTTGGTTTTTACCTTGTCCTTATCTTGCATAAGGAATGCTTTTGTTTAGAAAGAGGATCTGAAGGTTTTCTGGTCTGGGACAGGCCACAGCCACTGTGGAACGCAGTGATAATAAAGGATGGATAAGGCTTGCATGCTTTCCTTAGCGAGTTTATACAATCTATCCAATTTAGGCTTTCTTGATTTATATTCTAGAATAATGTCTATATTTGTTTATTTAAGTGGGAATCATTTTAATTTTATTTCTGATTTTTAATCCTATATTTTCTGCATTAGTTATCTCCAAACCTACAATTTAATTAAATTTATCCCAGCGTTTGATCTTAGAATATAACATTCATTCTTGTTTCCTGCATATTCACAAGAAAAATCCCAAGCTGTGTTATCTGAACCATCTGTCAGAAGAGGTTCCAAGGAGAAGGTGTCCAGTGATGAAAGAGCCGAGTTTTCCCTATTTTGAATGTAGGAAACACAGGCTGGTTTTTCTGAAATTAATCCCTGTTCTTTCCATAACAATATTACATTGCACTAGAGGGCCTAACCTAGGGATTGTCTTTTATGTGTAATTCAAATTCTAAGAAGAATAAATTAATTATAGTCCAATCACCACTATAACTCACAGCAGGGAGGAAGGAAGAAGTATGTGGTGTGTCACTCATAACAGGTTGGTGATGTTAGATTATAATTAGATGAACAAAGACACACACAAAATCATAAGAGTCAACCCAACACTCTGATGATAATTCTACATTATCACTATGATGACAACTCTGTATCACACAGTAATCTTTTTTTAAAGACTTAGTGAGATAAGAAAGATAAACAAAGCCCAAGTTATCCTGACATGCAATAGAAATATTACAAATAGTCAACAGATATGATGGTAGACATGAACTAAACCAAATATAAATTTCATCATGGATGCTCACCATGCAATGGTGTGAATGAGAATGCATTGGTACAGTCAGATATCATCCAAGACTTGGAACCTATGTTCAAAACGATCAAAACCAAATTATGTAGCGTCACCTTAAAAAGATGTATGCATTCAAAGTCTGAGGAATTGATTCAAGTCTAATTGAAGATGTAAAAATGTGAAAGTTAAATTAGAGTATTGTTGAACCATGGAAAATCAGGGTTAAGACAAGTGCTGGGGTGAATGTTGGCAGTGTGCCTCCAGGCAACTGCCCACAGGAGAGGGACTATGAATTTTCAATTTCCATTGGTGAGAACTATTGTGAAACGAACATGTCAAATGCCATTCAACATTTAGTTTATATAACTTCCTGTCTGATTCCTTACTCATGTGGTGTTTTAGAAGTTCCTGTTACTTAATTCTCCTGTAATTTAATAAATAGGCATCCTTGCTTTTTGGGCTTGGCTAACAGGTGTCTGCTCTAAGACGTGGCTTAACCCTTAGAATGTAAGCAAAATCAGGTCTCTGAGTCTGCAAGGCTAAAGGCCAGAACCAGGTACATTTATCAAGGGTTGTGAATTCTACCTTGCATGCCATTGGGGAGATAGTCCTTATTTTTTTTTTTTTTTTATCTCCAAGGGAATGCCAATTATCATGACAGTGTGTATGCTTTCTTTAAAGCATTATGTATGTGAATGCTTACGGAGTTCAGAGAATAACAACCTGTTAGCAATTAATTAATCAAATAATGATGGGGCAAGACAGAGTGTTTAAGGATCTCAAAGAATCTCAGGCATGGAAGGAATCCTAATAAACTTCCTGCCATGTGTTGCCAGATCCAATGCTTAAGTGTCTAGTAAATGGAAATTCATACACCCGGGGTGGTCTGTTCCATTCCTAGGAAGATCTTTTAAAGAGCTTTTAGAGAATTTCTGTACTCACTCTAGACCCCCTGAACTTTTTCCTCATTAGAAGCATCTGTGACTAAGCAATCAGAATGGCTTTTCTGAGCGCTTCCCTACCCTTAGCTCCATCCTCTATTCCAGTGCCCTTTGCTGGAAAATCACATTCATGTTCCTGTAAATAGCCAATTATCTTCCTGCTCTGTAGAATGCAGTTCCAGCCAAACAAGCATTTCCTTGCCTTGCTATCACAAATTTTTACATGGTCCTTTTGCAGCAAGTTTATCATCACTAACCTTTGCTTACCAAGTCCTTCTCATTGTTAAAATCTAGATCAAGGTGGTTTACCTGGTTGCCTAAGAACCTTCTGCTCAATTTTAGTGATTCTGAGGTCCCCACAAAATAGCTAGATTGTTGGATGTTCCTTCATCCCTTCTCCTCCCATGTGTGCTGGTTTTGTGATCTGCCTTTGCAATGTATCATCAATTTCCTGTGTTTGGCCAGGAAGACTGCAGTATGTCCACACAAAGAGAGCTCATGGGTTCATCTTCCCTTCTTTGTTCATGCACAGGTTTTCCACTGTGGAAGAAGGCAGGAAAGTCTGGGCCATGAGGATCGAAATCACATAGATGAGTATTTGCATCATGCCTGTTCTGCTACCTACAAGCTGCAGGCTTTGGGGGAAGTACTTAATATATTCCAACCATGTTTTATTGTTTCTGCATTTACATTTTTGGGGAATTTTTGTACCTGAGTTCTTTCAGTATCACCCCTGTTGTTCTACTTGGTAAATTGATTCATGGGTTCAAAATGGAAGTTTTTTATTTCCTTCCCTCTCTGATTCGTTGCTAAGATACAATTCTGTTAGATACAGTCGTCATGAACCACCCTTCCTATATCATTAATAATATAGGCTCACCTTCCTCACTTCTACTGTATAAATTTTGTCTCTTGTTTGTATTCTTCCCGAAGCACAATAAAGGTGAGGATGTTGAATGTCTCGTTCACTTCTGTAATCACAGCACCTGGCACAGTACTTAACACACAGTAAGTGCTCAATAAATCTTATTTAAATAAAGGATTGTTTTAATATCCAGATGTAAGTCTTTATTCTTATTCACTCTCCCGAAGTCCCAACTATTGGTAGAATAAGGAAATGAGACTGTGTGAGGGTACCAAGTAATTTGCTGTCATATTCAAGACTCCATAGACCCGGTTATGTCTCTAGACTGGTAGGGGCAGGGAGCATAGCACACACAGTGAGTGTAGTGTAGACAGCTTAGTGTTTGAAGCCAGGTCAACTGTTAACTGTACAACTTTGAACAAGTTCCTTCATCTCCCTTAGCCTCTGTTTCTTCATCTGTGAAATGAGGAAAATAAAACATTGGTGGATTATGAATTAGAAAAACCTAGACTAATACCTGTAGTTACTCAGTAAATGGTAGTGCCTCAGCTCATCCTTGAATGCATCAGGAGAGCAAGCACTTAGCAAGTCAGACAACATGGAAGCCTCTTTGGAAAATCCCTCCACCTTCTTAGATTTCCTAAGACCTAACTACTATGTGATAGCTCAGGCCACAGAATATTATTTTTCCCCTGGAGCCAGTATCTGTTCTTTTTTTTCAAGAAATATCTTGGTATCCTCTTTGGTGTTCAGCTCTTCGGAAAGTCTAGCTCCCACTTTGGGGGACTACAATAACGTCTATTGTCATTATATCCAGTATACTTTTTAAGAGTGACCAGTTTCCTTTATTTTCTTTCTCAAATCCTTATGTTTTCTTTTTCTAATACTCTGATGTTGAATCTCCTCTGCTTCAACTTTGCCTCACAACATTGAGGCACTGGTTGGATCAAAGCATTATATACCCATTGCTCAGTTACTTCAATTCTGAGGATTCTGTAAATATGCACTACCCTTATAATCCTCTGATTGAGAAGCTAGGTTGATCCAGCATTTGGAGCACAGAAACTGTGTCTTGTGCGCATTGCAGGGTGTTTCTTAGTCTTTTTTGTTCAAGTATTCTGCATTTTTAGGTAGAAAAGTGACCTACATGTACAAGACATTTCATTTTCATTTGTCAACAAGCAACTCAAATCATACACCTTCCCTAAAACTCAGACACCAGAGTTATTTCTACTTGTATTAAAATCTAAATAATAATGCCCTGGATCAAGATTCAGAACATCTGGGTATTGGACTTAATTCTATCAATTTCTAACTGTATGACCTGAGGCCAGTGATTTTTCCCATTTGTAATGTGCAAATGATAGTCTTTGCTTTGCCCACCTTGTGGGGTTACTATGAGATTAGAAGAGATAATAGGAAATACAATACACATGCAAGGCCTTTTAAAGGAATAGCTGTGCAGAACAAAACCCCAATGTATGGTCCATGACAGGAAAGACTTTAGGAAGATAATTCTTTTTTTTAAAATAATTTTTTTATTATACTGTAAGTTTAGGGTACATGTGCACAACATGCAGGTTTGTTACATAGGTATACATGTGCCATGTTGGTTTGCCGCACCCGTTAACTCGTCATTTACATTAGGTATTTCTCCTAATGCTATCCCTCCCCCTGACCCCCACCCCATGACAGGCCCTGGGGTGTGGTGTTCCCTGC
This sequence comes from Homo sapiens, assembly GCF_000001405.40. Classification (NCBI taxonomy): domain Eukaryota; kingdom Metazoa; phylum Chordata; class Mammalia; order Primates; family Hominidae; genus Homo; species Homo sapiens. The sequence continues at coordinate 25,535 of NW_003871093.1, forward strand.
CCTTTGTCCAAGTGTTCTCATTGTTCAATTCCCACCTATGAGGGAGAACATGCGGTATTTGGTTTTCTGTCCTTGTGATAGTTTGCTTAGAATGATGGTTTCCAGCTGCATCCATGTCCCTGCAAAGGACATGAACTCATCCTTTTTTATGGCTGCATAGTATTCCATGGTGTATATGTGCCATATTTCTTAATCCAGTCTATCACTGATGGACATTTGGGTTGGTTCCACGTCTTTGCTATTGTGAATAGTGCCGCAGCAAACATACGTGTGCATGCGTCTTTATAGTAGCATGATTTATAAGCCTTTGGGTATATACCCAGTAATGGGATTGCTGGGTCAAATGGTATTTCTAGTTCTAGATCCTTGAAGATAATTCTAACTGATTATGGAGGTGAGAAGCAGGACACAGGAATAATGAGTACATTGATATAACGTGGTTGATATTGGGCGTTTGCAGCAATATTGATCAGTTGCAGAGACTTAAGAGAACAGTCTTAGGGATTTGATATTTTAAGATTGTTAGAGGGAAAAGGGGATGACAATTTTTCCTTGGCTGAGATCTTGAGTTCATGTCAAGGATCCATGAAGATGACTAGCAGCTGGCACTCTGATATATAGGAAATAAGGAAGAGAAAAATCAAAGTGAAGCCAGCTCCACTTCACTAAGCAGCCTCACAATTTAACAATATAACACATCAAATGTTTGGCAACAGTATGTTGGTTGTCAACAAAGTCAGGGGAGTGGGAGTTAGTTCATTGGTAAGGCTGGTAGCAGCTGGACTCACAGTAGGTGGGCTGGCAGCAGGGTGGGCTGCAGCAGGTGGTCACACAGACGGTCCTGTAGCAGGTGATTGCACAGCAAATTGGGCCACAGCAAGGCGGGCGGGAGCTGGACCCACAGCAGATGCTCCTGTAGCAGGTGGTCTTGCAGCACATAGGCTGGCAGCAAGGGGAGCAACACTGGGTCATGATGTCAGGGGTGGAGGGTGGGCTCCTGTTTAGAGGTAAATTTCCCGGAATCTGATGACTCCTTCCAATCTGGACCTTCTATACACTAAGCCTCCAAAGTTTCCACCAATCAGCAGGACTTTTCCTTGTTGTTGTTTACATTGTTTTCCGTAGTCAGTTTGGGATTATTGAAGAGGATGTTGTTTCCTAAATATTATAGATCTTCTGAGAGTAAGGGCTTAATCTGTTTCTTAATTGAGAATAACTGTTAGAAACTTTGTTTCAGATAAAAGGAAGGTGGTCACATCATTGACATCCTTCCTGCTCTGGTCATCATGTGGTCATGTGATAGTTCCTACTGGCCTTGGAAGGTCAGGGCAGGTGTCTCTCCCCAGCTTGTTCTTTGGGGAGTGTCTGTGGGGAGGAGCATGATGCTGATAGGTTCACAGTGATGAACTGAATCCATGCCTGCGTCAAGGCTATTCACCTACAAGGCCTGATTCAAGAATAACAGGCACCTACCTGTCTTTGTGCAACCTACTCCGGATGTGTATGTGGTGTTTGTCTTTCTGTGCCTGGCTTATTTTACTTAACATAATGATCTTCAACTCCATCCATGTTGTTGCAAATGACTTGATCTCATTCTTTTTTATGGCTGAATAATACTTCATTTGGTGTATGTACCACATTTTCTTTATCCACTCATCTGTTGGTGGACACTTACATTGCTGCTAAATCTTAGCTATTGTAAACAGTGTTGCAACAAATATAGGAGTGCAGATGTCTCTTTGATATACCAATTTCTCTTCTTCTGGGTATATACCGAGGAGTGTGATTGCTGGATAATATGGTAGCTCAGTTTTTAGTTTTTTGAGGAACCTCCAAAGTGTCTTCCATAGCGCTTGTACTAATTTACATTCCCACCAAGAATGCACGAGCGTTCTCTTTTCTCCACATCTGCATCAGCATTTGTCATTGCCTGCCTTTTGGATATAAGCCATTTTAACTGGGGTGAGATGATCTCTCATTGTAGTTTTGATTTGCATTTCTCTGATGATCAATGATGGTGAACACCTTTTCATATGCTTATTTATATGTCTTCTTTTGAGAAATGTCAATTCAAATCTTTTGCCCATTTTGTGATCAGATTATTAGATTTTTTTTCCTATAGAATTATTTGACCTCCTTATATTCTGGTTGTTAATTCATTAACAATGCATAGGTATTTTGCAAATATTTTCTCCCATTCTGTGGGTTGTCTCTTTGTTATTGTTTCCTTTGCTGTGCAGAAGCTTTTTAATTTGATGTGATCCCATTTGTTTATTTTTGCTTTGGTTGCCTGTGCTTGCGGGGTATTGCTCAAGAAATTTTTGCCCAGACCAATGTCCTGGAGATTTTCCCCAATATTTTCTTGTAGTAGTTTCATAGTTCGAGGTCTTAGATTCAAGTCTTCGATCTAATTTGATTTGATTTTTGTATGTGGTGAGAAAGAGGGATCTAGTTTCATTCCTCTGCATAGAGATATCTAGTTTTCCCAGCATGGTTTATTGAAGAGAATGCCTTTTTCCCAGTGTATGCTCTTGGCACCTTTGTTGAAAATGAGGTGACTGTAGGTGTGTGGCGAACTTTACTTGTCATGCAGACACCAGTTATATTGAATCAGAGGCCCATTTTATTCCAATGTGACCTTACCTTAACTAGTTACATTCTCAATGACCCTATTTGGTGATGAATTTCTGGGGAAACAAGTCAATCCAAATATTGAAGTATCTCAGAGTGTGTCCATGGCTGATGATAACTGCAAATGAGTAACAGGAATCACAGTGGACAATAACACAGTAACTAGAGGGTCAGACCCTTCAGGCAGGAGGTTCTGGCTTACATCATCAGGCAATTATCTAGACAACAGAAGTGCTGGCCAGTGGTGAAGGGAGTATAGAACTTGTGGTAACTAATGGAGATGATGAATCTCAGGTGAACCCTATTACAGTAGTAACTGTATCTTGTTCCATTTGGCCTTTATTTTATATCTCTCCTTCCCTTCTTCCTTCCTGCCTTCCTTTCCTCTTACCTTCCCTTCCTTCTATTCTACCATCCTTTTCATACAGACACCAGTCATATTGAATAAGAAGACCAGTTTATTCCAATGTGACCTTACTTAACTAGTTACATTCTCAATGACCTTATTTGGCTATGAATTTCTGGGGAAAAAAATCAATCCAAATATGGAAGTATCTCAGAGCGTGTCCATGCCTAGTGATAACCACAAATGAGTAACAGCAATCACAGTGGACAACGGTATAGTAACTAGCAGCTCAGAACCTTCTGTCCCTCTTCTTTCTCTCCTCCTCTACCTCCTTCTCCTAGAATTTCTGGCTGTCCATCACAGTTAAGAAGCAAAGATTGGATCTGAGTGGAGCGAATGACAGACCATAGATGACATTTTCATTATCCTGTCCATATTTCTCAGATCTTAGTGTGCTTGGGCCAGTTTCTATTTGCCAGAATCTGCATCTCTGTGCCTAAGGGCTCTTGTATTGCAACTGCAGAAAGTCATGTCACCTGTGCATTCCACACAGAGGACTATCACTCAACTCAACCAATGATCTTGGAGAGCTGATTTACAAAGACTCTAGCTCCCTTATTCCTGAAGATAGAGATTGCTAATTTATGTGTTTTTCATCATTTCTGATAGTTTTCCCTTTGGTTTAAATTTTAGTTGGTCACTGTGATACTTACTGGCTCAATAGTATACCCTTTTCTGTATCTCTTCTCTGATCCCTAATGGTGTGATCTGCACTTCCCAATAAACTACTTTCACTGGAATATTTTTCTAAGTATCTGTTCTGGGAGAAACCACACTATGACATTACATTAACTCTCTCAGCCTCAATTTCCTCATCTCTACAATGGTAACATTAATACCTACTTTGAACATTTCCTCAAGAATAAATATTAATGAACATAAAGCATGTAGTCACTATCTATCAAATAGTAGGCAACCTAGAACATATTAGTTCTTTTTTTGTCCAGAAAACTTAAAAAATAATTTTAATATTGAATATAAGAATATATTTAAAATAACTAACTAGATCAACTAAATTCTTTCTTTACTAGTTTTATTGAGGTATAATTAACAAATAAAAATTGTGTATATGTAAGGTATAAAAGGTTATGTTTTGAGGTATATATATATATACAGTGTGAAATAATAATATATTTATTAGCTCACATAGTCACCATTTCCTTTTTATTGTTGTGGTGTGAACATTTAAGATCCACTTTCTCAGCAAATTTCAGGTATACAATAAAGTATTTTAAACTATGTCCACATTAGAGTGCACCAGATCTGCAGAACATATTCGTCTTATATAACTGATGTTGGTCATGAGAATGTGCTAGTTCTCCTTTACCCCACCACCCAACGACTATCCCAGTCAGCGGCTTTTCTCTCTTTCTGGAATCTTCAGAGCATTCCAGATATACAGTCTCAAAAGATGGCATCTGTATTTTTTAAGGAATAACTTAAGTTCATTTTGCCTTGCCAATATGTATTCAGGAGAAGAAGGAAGCCATATAAGAATGGAAATGTTATCTGCAAATGTTACCTGCAAATACAGGAGATTACTCCTCCATTGTTGAGTCAACTTAAGTGCATGTCTTGCGAATGTAGAGTCCCAATGTAATTTTTACTTTAATGAGAGTTAAATATAAGTGCTCTTGGACAGAAAGAGAAGACCCAACCTTAAATCTGAGTCTGCATTTTTAGCTAAATAACATCACACATTAAAATTTTCCTCAGCTGGAAAGTAGAGGTAATAAAACATGACCATCTGTTTTTATAATCAAATTAGGTAACATGTATGGTATGGAATATGTGTGTAAATCCCATATCAGGAATGCTGTAAAATAAAAAAAAACACCATGTGAGATGAAGGACAGCTTTGAGTTTATTAAGAAACATATAGGTAAGAGTCCCTGTTTCTAGGGAGATAACCCAAAATGATCATGAAAGGAATAAGGATAAAAGAACCACGAGGAGGACACTGAAAATGAAAACATGATTGTGAAGATTATTGATCAGTTGCAAAACCTAAGTTTCTTAGAGAAAGGGAATGAAGCTCTTGACTTTAGAGTCAAGCTGAGACCATGACTCCAAATTGAAAATACATGAAGGTGGCACATGATCCACAAGGTGTAAGGAAAAAAGAATCAGGATGAAGTACTCTACCCTCACTCAAGCTGATTCACAAAATGTTAAACATGCAGAGAAGTCATAAAAATTAGGGTGAGCAAAGTTCACCCTAAGTTCACTTTGTTGGTTTTCATCACAGTTTGAAAGTAAATTTGTCCCCCAGAAGGTAAATCTTTTGCCAGAGGGTTACTGTATGGGGATGATGGTCCTCTGCGGAACTGATCAGCAGCAAGCAGGCTGACAGCAGCTGGTCACACAGGTGGGCTGGAAGCAAGTGGTCCTGCAGCAGGTAGTCTCACAGCAGGCTGGGCGGCAGCACGGCTGGCAGCAGCTGGAGCCACAGCTCTGGTTTAGGCAACCAGGCAGGTAGACACTCGTGGGGTGGTAGCAGGTTCTCCTGCAGTAGATGGGTGCACAGGAGCTGGGCTGGCAGCAGCTGGACCCACAGCTGGTTTGGCCACAGCAGCTGGACCCACAGCAGATGGGCTGGCAGCAGGGTGTGCTGCAGCAGGAAGGCTGGCAGCAGCTGGTCACACAGGTGGGCTGGCAGCAGGTGGTCCTGCAGCAGGTGTTTTGACAGCAAGTTGGGTGGCAGCAAGGCTGGCAGCAGCTGGACACACAGCAGGAGGGCTGGCAGCAGGGTGTGCTGCTGCAGGTGGTCACAGTGGTGGGCTTCCAGCAGGTGGTCCTGCAGCAGGTAGGCTGACAGCAAGGGGAGCAACAGTGGGTCATGGTGTCAGGGGTGGAGGGTGGACTTCTGTTCAGAGGTGAATTTCCCAGGATCTGATGACCCCTTGCCCTCTGGACCTTTTATACAACTGGCCTCCAAAGTTTCCACCAATCAGCAGGACTTTTCCTTGTTGCTGTTTATGTTGTTTTCCACAGTCATTTTGGTATTGTCAAAGGGGAAGTTGTTTTCTAAAGGTTATAAATCTTTTGAAAGTAAGGGTTTAATCTGTTGCTTAATTGTGGATTACTCATAGAAACTATTTCAGATAAAAGGAAGCCCGTCTCATCATCAGCATTGTTCCTGCTCTGACCATCTTCTGGTGATGTGATAGTTCCTGGTGACCAGGGAGGCTCAGGAAGTTCTCTCTACCCAGCCTCATTCTTTGGTTGTATGTAGGTTGGCAAGTGTCTGTGGGGAGAATCATGATTCTGATATGGTCACAAAGACAAAATGAATCCATGCCTATGTTCAAGACTGTTCACCCACCAAAATCTGTTTCAAGACTAACAGGCATCTCTCTCTGTACAACCCACACCACCTGTGTCTTTCACCTCCATCAAAGTCACTTGGGAAAAGGGTGATTGGTACAGTGTGTTCTATGTGTCAGAGCAGAACCAGAGCAGGTGGGTACGAGGAGAAGTCCAGTGGGATTTAGATAGCATCAGGCAATCTTTGCCCTGGGTTGACCATTCATTCTGATTTGTCTGGGAGAGAGGGGCTTACCATAATGAAAATGTGGGACTTTGTGTAACATAAGTGCTTTAGACTCAGGCAAGCCAGCATGAGCTGTGGCTCTAGCCCTAACTCTGGTAGTAGCATAGTCAGTGCCATTTCTTTTCTCTATCTTTCTCCATTTCTTTTTAATGAAGAAATTAGATGAGTTGAGATGATAGCTGATTCGTCTTGGAGTTCTAACATATTAAAACATTTTTTAGGTATACCATTCATTTCAGAAGAATGCAAATTATTAATTTCCAACTTGTTATAACTTTGTAAATAAAGCTATGTCCCCATTACCAGGTTAGGAAATAGAAATTAATCCCATTCCCTTTAAATTATATTCCTTTACTCATCCCAAAAAACCACTAATCACTCTATCAAGTTGCAACCCTGTAGGTCAATTTGGCTATTCCTTTTTTACTTCGTGTGAATAAAAATTATAATATTTGCTTCTCTATTTCTTTTGCATAATCAGAGGTAATAATTATTGCCTAGTCATTTTGCACTCTTCATGTCAGCAGATCAGAAGGCAGAGAAAAGAGTTCCTTTTTGGTGAGGGGTAATTATCCTGTTTTCATGGCATGTAGGAGAATGTATCTGTAGCTCAGGAGATTTACTGAACATACTAATTTACTAGCACTGCTGTGATAAACCACTACAAACCAAGTGGCTTAAATTTATATTCTTGCAGTTCTGAAGGCTAGCAGTCTGGATTTAAGGTGTTGCCAAGGTTGTTTTCACCTGAGGACTGTTAGGAAAGCATCTGTTCCAGGTCTCTCTCCTTGAAGTGTGGATGTCTGTCTTCTCCATGTGTCTCTAACATGACCATCCTTCTAGATGCACACTGCCTCTGAACTTACCCATTCTATACAGGCATCAGTAATATTGAATCAGAAGCCTGATTCCAATATGACTGGATCTTAAGTAATTACAGTTTCAATATCCCTATTTGAATATGAATTTTGGGGGACACAAGTCAAGCCATAATATTGGAGAATCTCATAGTGTGTCCATGCCCAGTGATAACCACAAATGAGTGAAAACAGCAATCGCAGTGGACAATGGTACAGTAACTAGCAGCTCAGACCTTTCTGTCCATTTTCTTCCTCTCCTCCCCTCCCTCCTTTTCCTAGAATTTCTGGCTATCCATCACAGTTAAGAAGCAAAGAATAAATCTGAGTAGAGCAAATGGCAGATCATAGATAACGTTTTCATTATCCCATCCATATATTTTGGATTTTAGTGTGCTCAGGCCAGTTTCTATCTTCCAGAATCTGCATCTCTGTGCCTAAAGGCTCTTGTATTGTACCTGCAGAAAGTCATGTCACTTCTGCATGCCACAGAGCGAAAAACACTCGACCATTGATTCTGGGGAGCTGATTTACAAAGACTCTAGCTCCTTTATTCCTGAAGTTGGAGAATTCTAATTTATGTGTTTTTCATCATTTCTAATAGTTTTCCCTTTGGTTTAAGCTTTAGTTAGTCACTGTGATACTTACCAGCTCAATAGTGTACCCTCTTCTGTGTCACTTTCCTGATCCCTACCGGTGTGATCTGCACTTCCCAATAAACTACTTTCACTGGAGTATTTTTCTTGGTATCTGTTCTGGGAGAAACCACACTATGATATTACATTAACTCTCTCAGCCTCAATTTCCTCCTCTCTACAATGGTAACATTAATACTTACTTTGAACATTTCTTTGAGAATAAATATTAATGAAAATAAAGCATTTAGTCACTACCTATCAAATAGAAGTCAACCCAGAACATATTAGTTCTTTTTTTGTCCAGAAAACTTAAAAAATAATTTTAATTTTGAAGATAATATATGTATAATAACTAACCAGATCAACTAAATTCTTTCTTTACTAGCTTTTTTGAGGTATAATTAACAAATAAAAATTGTGTATATGTAAGGTATAAAAGGTTATGTTTTGATATATATATTCATTGTGAAATAATCACATATTTATTAGCTCACATAGTTACCATTTCCTTTTTATTTTTGTGGTGGGAATATTTAAGATCCACTTTCTCAGCAAATTTCAGGTGTACAAAAAAGTATTTTAAACTATATCCAAATTAGTGTACACCAGATCTGCAAAACTTATTTGTCTTATATAACTGATGTAGGTCAAAGAGAATGTGCTAGTTCTTCGTCTCCTTTACCCCATCACCCAACGACTATCCCAGTCAGCGGCTTTTCTCTCTCTCTGGAATCTTCACAGCATCCCAGATATACAGTCTCAAAAGATGGCATCTGTATTTTATAAGGAATAATTTAAGTTCATTTTGCCTTGTCAATATGTATTCAGGAGAAGAAGAAGGAAGCCATATAAGAATGGAAATGTTATCTGCAAATACAGGAGATTATTCCTCCATTGTTAAGTAAACTTAAGTGCATATCTTGCTAATGCTGAGTCCCAATATAGTTTTTTCTTTATTGAGAGTTAAATGTAAGTGCCTTTGGACAGAAAAAAAGACCCAACTTTGCATCTGAGTCTGTCCATTTTTAGCTAAATAACATCACACATTAAAATTTTTTCAGCTGGAAAGTGGAGGTAATAAAACATGACTGTCTGTTTTGATAATCAAATTAGGTAACATACATGGTATGCAATATGTGTGTAAATCCCATATCAGGAATGCTGTAAAATAAAAAAAAACACCATGTGATAAGAAGAATGGTTTTGAGTTTATTAAGAAACATATATGTAATGGTCCCTGTTTCTAGGGAGATAGCCCAAAATGATCATGAAAAGAAGGATACAAGAAACACGAGGAGGACATTGAAAATGAAAACATGATTGTGAAGATCATTGATGAGTTGCAAAACCTAAGCTTCTTGGAGAAAGAGAATGAAGCTCTTGACTTTAGAGTCAAGCTGAGACCATGACTCAAATTGAAAATACATGAGGCTGGCACATGATCTACAAGGTATAAAGAAAAAAAGAATCAGGATGAAGTACTCTGCCCTCCCTCAAGCTGATTCACAAGATGTTAAACATGCAGAGAAGTCATAAAAATTAGGGTGAGCATGCTGGTTGTCAGCAAAGTTTGAAAGTAAATTTGTCCTCCAAGAGGAGGACAGAAGGTTGCCAGAAGGTTGCTGTGTGAGGATGGTGGTCCTCTGGAGAGTTGGTCAGCAGCAAGAAGGCTGACAGCAGCTGATCACAGAAGTGGGCTGGAAGCAAGTGGTCCTGCAGCAGGTGGTCTCACAGCAGGCTGGGCGGCAGCAGGGCTGGCAGCAGCTGGAGCCACAGCTCTGATTTAGGCAACCAGGCAGGCAGACACTCGTGGGGTGGTAGCAGGTTCTCCTGCAGTAGATGGGTGCACAGGAGCTGGGCTGGCAGCAGCTGGACCCACAGATGATTTGGCCACAGCAGCTGGACCCACAGCAGGTGGGCTGTTAGCAGGGTGTGCTGCAGCAGGAAGGCTGGCAGCAGCTGGTCACACAGGTGGGCTGGCAGCAGGTGGTCCTGCAGCAGGTGTTTTGACAGCAAGTTGGGTGGCAGCAAGGCTGGCAGCAGCTGGACACACAGCAGGAGGGCTGGCAGCAGGATGTGCTGCTGCAGGTGGTCACAGTGGTGGGCTTCCAGCAGGTTGTCCTGCAGCAGGTGGTCCTGCAGCATGTAGGCTGACAGCAAGGGGAACAGCAGTGGGTCATGGTGTCAGGGGTGGAGGGTGGGTTTCTGTTCAGAGGTGAGTTTCCCAGAATCTGATGACCCCTTGCAATCTGGACCTTTTATACACCTGGCCTCCAAAGTTTCCACCAAACAGCAGGACTTTTCCTTGTTGCTGTTTACATTGTTTTCCACAGTCATTGTGGTATTGTCAAAGGGGACGTTGTTTCCTAAAGGTTATGAATCTTTTGAAAGTAATTTTCAGAAGAAAATTATTTAATTTTCTGTTGCTTAATTTCTTAGTTTTCTGTTATTTTCTGTTGCTTAATTGTAGTTTACTCATAGAAAGTTTATTTTCGATAAAAGGAAGCCCCTCTCAACATCTGCATCGTTCCTGATGTGACCATCTTCTGATTATGTGATAGTTCCTGGTGACCGGTTAGGCTCAGGAAGTTCTCTCTACCCAGCCTCCTTCTTTGGTTGTATGTAGATTGGGAAGTGTCTGTTGCGGGAAGCGTGATGCTGATGTGTTCACAATGACTAAATGAATTCATATCTGTGGCCTAGATTGTTCAGCCACCAAAGTCTGATTCAAGACTAACAGGCATTGCTCTCTGTACAACCCACACCACCTGTGTCTTTCAGCTCCATCAAAGTCACTTGGGAAGAGGGTGATTGGTACAATGTGTTTTATGTGTCAGAGAGAACCAAAGCAGGTGGGTACAAAGAGAAGTCCAGTGTGATTTAGATAACATCAGGCAATCTTTGCCCTGGGGTGACCATTCATCTTGATTTGTCTGGGAGTGAGGGACTTACCAGGATGAGAATGTGGGACTTTCTGTAACATAACTACTTTAGATTCAGGCAAACCTGCATGAGCTGTAGCTCTAGCCCTAACTCTGGTACTAACACAATCAGGGCCATTTCTTCTCTCTCTGTCTATTTCTTTTTAATGAAGGAATTAGATGAGTTGAGATGATACCTGATTTGTCTTGGAGTTCCAACATATTTAAACATTTTTTAGGTATACCATTCATTTTGGAAGAATGCAAATTATTAATTTCCAACTTGATATAACTGTAAATACATCTGTGTTCCCATTACCAGGTTAGGAAATAGAAATTAATCCCATTCCCTTTCAGTTATATTTCCTTACTCATCCCCCAAAACCGCTAATCACTCTATCAAGTTGTAACCCTGTAGGTCAATTTGGCTTTTCCTTTTTTACTTCTGTGTGAATAAAAATTACAAAATTTATTTCTCTATTTCTTTCGCATAATCGCAAGTAATAATTACCGCCTAGTCATTTTGCACTCTTCATGTCAGCAGATTAGAAGGCAGAGAACAGAGTTGGTGAGGGGTAATTATCCTGAAGGCGTAGAATGTAGGAGAATGTATCTGTAGCTCAGGAGATTTACTGAATATGTTAATTTACTAGCACTGCCATGATAAACCACTACAAACCAAGTGGCTGAAATTTATTTTCTCACAGTTCTGAAGGCTAGTAGTCTGAATTTAAGGTGTTGACAAGGTTGTTTTTACCTGAGGACTGTTAGGAAAGCATCTCTTCCAGGTGTCTCTCCTTGACTTGTAAATGCCTGTCTTCTCCATATGTCTCTTACATGATCTTCCTTCTAGATGCACATGGCGTCTGAACTTCCCCATTCTATACAGGCATCAGTCCTATTGAATCAGGGGCCTAACTTGTTCCAATATGACCTGATCTTAACTAATTATGTTTTCAATGACCTCATTTCAATATGAATTTTGGGGGACTCATTCAACCCATAACACTGGAGAATCTCATACTGTGTCCATGCCCAGAGATAACCACAAGTGAGTGAAAACAGCAATCACAGTGGACAGTGGTACAGTAACTAGTGGCTCAGACCCTTTGGGCAGGAACATCTGGGTTACTCCTTCCGGAAATTATCTAGAGTAGTAAAAGTTCTGGAAAGTGGTGAAGGAACTATAGACTTTTGATAATTAATGGAGATTATGGCTGTCAGGTGCACCCTATTATAGCAGCAGTAACTGTTGCTTGTTCCATTGGCCTTCATTTTACATATCTCTCCCCCTCCTTTCTTTGCTTCTTAATTTCTCCTTCCTTCCTTCCTTCTTTCCTTCCTTCCTTCCTCCCTCCCTCCCTCTCTCTCTTTCTCTTTCTTTCTTTCTTTTTCTTTTTCTTTCTTTCTTTCTCTTTCTTCTTTTTCTCTCTCTCCTTCCTGCCTTCCTTCTCTCTCTCTCTTTCTTTCTTTCTTTCCTCCTTCCTTTCTTCCTTCCATCCCTCCTTTCCTTCTTCCTTCCCTCTCTCCTTCCCTCCTTTCTTCCTTCCCCCCTTCTTTCCTTCCTTCCTTTCTTCTCTCTTTCTTTCATTTTTCCATCTTTCTTCTTCCTCTCATTTTCTGTTTTTCCTCTTTCTCCTCTTCCTTTCCTCCTCCTCTTCCTTCTTCTAGAGTTTGTGGCTGCCCACCACACTTAAGAAGCAAAGATTGGGTCTGTGTGGAGCAAATGGTAGATTGTAGATAGGATTTCCTTATCCCATTCCTATATCTTGGATCTTAGTATGCTCAGACCAATATGCATTTGCCCAAATCTGCATCTGTGTGCCTATGGGCTCTTGTATTGTTACTGCAGAAAGTCATGTCGCCTGTGCGTGCCACACAGAGAAAAACACTCAACCAATGATTCCAGAGCACTGGTTTGTGAAGACTCTAGCTTCCTCATTCCTGAAGTAGGATAATTCTAATTTGTTTGTTTTTCATTATTTCTAATAGTGTTTTGTTTGGTTTAAGCTTTAATTGGTCACTGTGATACTAGTTTAATAGTCTACCCTTTTCTGTGTCACTTCTCCAATACCTGCTGGTGTGATCTGCACTTTCCAATAAACTACTTTCACTGGAATATTTTTCTTGGAGTTTGTTATGGGAAAACCAAACTCTGATATTACATTTCCTCTCTCAGACTCAATTTTCTCATCTCTACAATGGGAACATTAATACCTACTTTGAATGTTTCTTCAAGAATTAATGATAATGTTCATAAAGCATTTAATCAATACCCATTAAATAGTAGGCAACCTAGGACATATTAGTTTTTTTTTTGTCCAGAGAACTCCTAATTTTAATGTTGAAGATAAGAATACATGAATAATAATTAACCAGATCAACTCACTTCTTTCTTTACTAGCTTTATTGAGGCATAATTGATAAATAAAAATAAAATTGTGTATATTTAATGTGTACGAGGTGATGTTTTGAGATATGTATATACTTATTGTGAATTATCATATATTCCTTAGCTCACATAGTTACCATTTCCTTTTTATTTTTGTGGTGTAAACACTTCAGATCTACCTTCTTAGCAACACTCCAGATCTACCTTCTTAGCACATTTCAGGTATAAAATAAAGCATTTTTGTTAACTATAGTCACGTTGCTGTACACTAGATCTGCAGAACTGACTCATCTTGCATAACCGATGTTGGTCAAAGAGAATGTGATAGTTCTTCAGTTTCTTTACCCCATTATGCAACAACTATCACAGTCAGTGGCTTTTGTCCCTTAGCTGAGTCTTCTGAGCATTCTAGATACACCACCTCAGAAGCTGGTATCTGTCCTGGAAACCTACATTGTTAGCTCCTCAGAGGTATTTCTACCACTCCCATGCCGGTAGGAGGTCCCAAGAAGGTGGCCCAGGTCCCTAACTTTTCTAATTCTCTCAGGGCCAGTATCAATGAATCCCTCCATGACTGAATACTTCAGTTGCATCATCAGTTCAGGAACAAAAGCGCCAGTTTTCCATCTATCATGACTTCCATGAATGAGAAAGTTCTTCCACGTTTCCTCCTTCTTAAATTCTTCTGATTTCCCTGGAAACACAGGTTTTTGGTTTCTTGAGATGCTTCCTATTTGCCTCACAAAACTCAGAAGGTTGTTTTATACCTTTATGGTTTGTACAAAGTCATACATGCCCATTGCATAGTCCCTCAATCCCCAAATTTGTTTCACTTAATTTTCCTAATAACATTTTGATTTGAGGGACAATTTGACTTAATGTGGCTTAATGTATGGTCCATATTTTAGAAGGAATAACTTAAATTCTTTTTGCTTTGTCAACAGGTATTCAGGAGAAGGAAGCCATATAAGAATATTATTTACGTGATACCAGGAAAAAAATCCCCAAATGAGATCCTCTCTCATGAGGACACAATGCATTCTCAAAATTTTCTGATGCAGATTAATTGAATAAATAGCTGGTCAAAGACTGAGACAAAAAGGGATCCTCACTCAGGGCAGCTATTAAATGCCGTCCCTGTTGTCATCCCATGTAGCTATTACTCACTGAGGTGTGGAAAACTAATTTGGGAAGACCTTTGTGAACAGAAATGTCGTCTGCAAATATGAGAGATTATACCTCCCACATTAAATAAACTCAAGTGCATGTCTTGCTATTGCTGAGTCTCAATATCATTTCTACTTTACCGAGAGTTAAATGTAAGTGTTCTTGGGCAGAAAGAGAAGCTCTCACCTTGGACTAGAGTCTGTCCTTTATTAGCTACATAAAATCACACACTAAATTGTTCTCAGCTGAAAAATTGAGGTAATAATACATAATAATAACTCTGTTTTCAGAATCAAATTGGATAATACATATAGCATGCAATATGTGTGTAAATCTCATATCAGCAATTCTGTAAAATAAAACACCATATGAGATGAAGGATGGTTCAGAATTTATTCAGAAATATATAGGTAAGAATCCCTGCTACTAGGGACATAGCCCAAAGTTACAATGAAAAGAAGAAAGAAGGGTAAAAGAAACATGAGGACAAAATTGAAAACAAAAATATGATTGCAAAGATTATTGATCAGTTGCAGAAACCTAAGTTTCTTAGAAGGAGAGAATGAAGCTCTTGACTTTAGAGTCGAATGGAGACCATGTCTCCACATTGAGAACACATGAAGCTGGCACATGATCCACAAAGTGTAAGGAAAAAAGAATCAGGATGAAGTATTCTGCCCTCCCTCAAGCTGATTCCCAAGATTTTAAACAGGCAAAGAAATAAAAAAAATTGGTGAAAGCATACTGTGTATCAGTAAAGTTTGAAAGTAAATCTGTCTTCTGAAAGATAAGTGAGTTGGGTCTGGGTGTGGTAGCTCACACCTGTAATCCCAGCACTTTGGGAGGCTGAGGCAGGTGGATCACCTGAGGGCAGGAGTTCCAGACAAGTCTGATCAACATGGTGAAAACTACTAAAAATACTAAAAATACAAAAAATTAGCCAGGCGTGGTGGCACAGGCATGTAATCCCAGCTACTCAGGAGGCTGAGGCAGGAGAATCACTTGAACCCAGAAGATGGAGGTTGCAGCGAGCCGAGAGCGTGCTACTGCACTCCAGCCTGGGTGACAGTGAGGCTCCGTCTCAAAAGAAAAAAAAGGTCAGTTGAGCAGAAGGTTGTTGTGTGAGGATGATGGTCCTCTGTGGTGCTGCTCAGCAACAAGAATGCTGGCAGCAGCTGGACACACAGCAGGCTGGGCAGTAGCAGGGCTGGCAGCAGCTGGATCCACAGCTCTGGTTGAGGCAACCAGGCAGGCAGACAGTCGTGGGGTGGTAGCAGGTTCTTCTGCAGTACACAGGTGCACAGGAGCTGCTCTGGCCACAGCTGGACCCACAGCTGGTTTGGCCACAGCAGCTGGACCCACAGCAGATGGGCTGGTAGCAGGGTGTGCTGCAGCAGGAAGGCTGGCAGCAGCTGGTCACACAGGTGGGCTGGCAGCAGGTGGTCCTGCAGCAGGTGTTTTGACAGCAAGTTGGGTGGCAGTAAGGCTGGCAGCAGCTGGACACACAGCAGGAGGGCTGGCAGCAGGGTGTGCTGCTGCAGGTGGTCACAATGGTGGGCTGCCAGCAGGTAGTCCTGCAGCAAGTGGTCCTGCAGCAGGTAGGCTGACAGCCAGGGGAGCAACAGTGGGTCATGTTGTCAGGGGTGGAGGGTGGGCTTCTGTTCAGAGGTGAGTTTCCCAGGATTTGATGACCCCTTGCAATCTGGACCTTTTATACATGTGGCCTCCAAAGTTTCCACCAATCAGCAGGATTTTTCTTTCTTGCTGTTTACAGTTGTTTTCCATAGTCAGTTTGGCATTGTCAAAGAGGAAGTCATTTCCTAAATGTTATGAATCTTTGGAAAGTAAGGGTTTAATCTGTTTCTTAATTGTAAATTACTCGTAGAAACTTTGTTTCAGATAAAAGGAAGGCAGTCTCATCATCAGCTTCGTTCCTGCTCTGACCAGCATCTCGTCATGTGATAGTTCCTGGTGACTGGGGAGGCTCAGGAAGTTCTCTCTGCCCAGTCTCATCCTTTGGCTGTATGTAGACTGGGAAGTGTCTGTGGGGAGAAGCATGATGTTGATATATTCACAGTGGTGAATTGAATCCATGCTTGGGACCAAGACTGTTCACCCACCAAAGTCTGATTCAAGACTGATAGGCATCTCTCTATGTACAACCTACTTTACCTGTCTCTTCCAGTTCTATAAAAGCCTCTTGGGAAGAGGGTGTTCAGCACAATGTGTGCTATGTGGCAGAGCAGAGCCAAAGCAAACACGTAGAAAGAGGAGGGGTTCACTGGAATTCACAAAGCATCAAGCAATCTACGTGCTGCGGTGACCATTCACCCTGATTTGTCTGGGACTGAGGGGCTTACCAGCATGAGAATGTGGGACTGGGAATTACTGTGACATTACTGCTTGAGGTCCAGGCAAAGCAATATGAGCTGTGGCTCTAGCCCTAATCCAGGTTACTGGCACAATCATTGCCATTTCTCTGTCTCTGTCTCTGTCTCTGTCTCTGTCTCTGTCTCTCTCTCTCTCTCTCTCTCTGTCTCTCTGTTTTCAGTGAGGGAATTAGGTGAGTTGAGATGATATCTGATTCCTCTTTGAGGTTTACCATTGTTTAAAACTTTTTAAATTATACCATTCATTTCAGAAGAGTGCAAATTATGAATTCCAACTTGATATAATATTACATTATAAATACATCTAAGTCCCCATTACCAGTTTACAAAATAGAAATTAATTCCATTCCCTCCAAATTATATCTTTTTACTTATCTCCAAAGGTAGCTAGTCACTCTATCAAGTTTTAATCCTGTAGGTCAGTTTTGTTTTTTTCTTTGACTTTTATGTAAATAAAAATTATAGAATTTGCTTCACTGTGTTTTTGGCATAATCAAAAGCAGCAATTATAACCTGGTCATTTCATTTTGGATCCTTCATGTTAGCAGACCAGCAGGTAGATAAAGGAGTTAATATTCCATGAGGGATAATTTTCGTGAAGCCATAGAGCGTAGGGAGAATATATCTGAAACTCAAGAAATTTACTATATATATTAAAGCATTACACTGCCATTAAAAACTATGGCAAATCAAGTGGCTGAAGTTTATTTTCTCACAGTTCTGAAGGCTAAAATAAAGGTGTTGGCAATGTTGTTTTCATCTGAGGGCTGTGAGGGAAATATCTGTTTCAGGTCTCTCTCCTTGACCTGTAGATGTCTATCTTCTCCATGTGTCTCTTACATCATCTTCCCTCTATATGCATCCTGTTTGAATTTCCCCTGTTTATACAGACACCAGTCACATTGAATCAGAAGCACAATTTATTCCAATATGACCTTATCTTACCATCTTGCATTTAAGTGACCCTATTTGAATATGAGTTCTTGGGGACACAATTCGACCCATAACCTTGGAATATCTCGTAGTGTATCCATGCCCATTGATAAACACAAATGAGTAACAAAAGCAACCACAGTTGGACAATGGTGTAGTAAGTAACTAGAGGGTAAGACCCATCAGGCAGGAAGTTCTGAGCTACTTCATCAGGCAATTATCTAAACTAACAGGAGTGCTGGCCAGTGATGAAGGGAGTATAGAACTGGCGGAAACTGATGGAGATTATGAATCTCAGAAGCACCCTATTACAGCAGTAGTTTCTTTTCCCTTCCCTCCCTTCCCTTCCCTTCCCTTCCTTCCCTTCCCTTCCTTTCCCCTCCCCTCCCCACCCCTCCCCTCCCCTTTCTTTCTTTCTTTCCTTTTCCTTCCTTCCTTCCCCTTCCTTCCTTCCTTCCTTCCTTCATTCCTTCCTTCCTTTTCACTCTCTTTCCTTCTGTCTCTTGCTCTCTTTCTTCCTCCGTTCCTTTCTTCCTGTCTGTGTATATTGTCTTCTTCCCATATCTTTCCTAGTTTTTTCCTCCTCTCTCACCTTCTGTTCCTCCTCTTCCTCCTCCTCCTTTTTCTCCTAGAGTTCATGGCTGTCCATTACATTTAAGAAGGAAAGATTGGACTTGAATGGAGCAAATGTTACTGTAGACAGGTCTTCATTACCATACCTGTATATCATGGAACTTAGGGTGCTCATACCAATTTCCATCTGCCTGAATCTGCATCTCTGTGCCTTAGGGCTCTTGTATTGCAACTACAGAAAGTCATGTCACCTGTGCACACTACAGGGAGAAAAATATTCAACTGAAAATTCTAAAGAGTGGATTTATACAGACTCTAGCTTCTTCACTGCTGAAGTTTGAGAATTCAAAGTTGTGTGTTTTTCATCATTTCTGAAAAATTTCCCTTTAGCTTAAGCTTCAGTTGATCTCTGTGATACTGGCTTAATAGTATACCCTTTTCTGTATCACTGCCACAATCCCTTCTGGCCTGTTCTGCCCTTCCTAATACACTGTATTCATTGGAATCTTTTTCTCAGAGTATCTTCTGGGAAAAACCAAACTATGACATTACATCTCTCAGCCTCAATTTCCTCATCTCTACAATTAGAACACTAATGCCTACTTTGAAAGTTTTTTCAATAATTAATGATAATGTACATAAAAGATTTACACAATATCCATCAAATGATAGGCAACTGAAAACATATTATTTCTTTTCTCTCCAGAAATTCCTAAACTAATTTTAATGTTGATGATAAGAATATATTTATAATAATTAACTAGATCAACTTTTTTTCTTTTACTTTAAGTTCCAGGACACATGTGCAGAATGTGCAGGTTTGTTGAGTAGGTATACATGTGCCATGATTGTTTGCTGCACCTATCAACCTGTCCTCTAGGTCTTAAGCCCTGCATGCATTAGGTATTTGTCCTAATGCTCTCCCTCCCCTTGCCCCCGACCCCCCCAACAGGCCCTGGTGTGTGATGTTCCCCTCCCTGTGTCTGTGTGTTCTGGTTGATCAACTCCCACTTATGAGTGAGATCATGTGGTGTTTGGTTTTCTGCTCCTGTGTTACTTTGCTGAGAATGATGGCTTCCAGCTTCTTCCATGTCCCTGCAAAGGATATGAACTCATTGTTTTTTATGGCTGCATAGGATTCCATGGTTTATATGTGCCACATTTTCTTTATCCAGTCTATCACTGATGGGCATTTGGGTTGGTTCCAAGTCTTTGCTATTGTAAATACTGCTGCAATAAACATATATGTGCATGTGTTTTTATAGTAGAATCATTTATATTCCTTTGAGTATATACCCGGTAATAGGATTGCTGAGTCAAATGGTTTTTCTGGTTCTAGATCCTTGAGGAATTGCCACACTGTCTTACACAGTGGTTGAACTAATTCACTATCCCACCAACAGTGTAAAAGCATTCCTATTTCTCCACAGCCTCTCCAGCATCTATTGTTTCCTGACTTTTTAATAATCACCATTATGACTGGCATGAGATGGTATCTCAATGTGGTTTTGATTTGCATTTCTCTAATGATCAATGATGATGAGCTTTTTTTCATATGTTTGTTGGCCACATAAAAGTCTTCTTTTGAGAAGTGTCTGTTCATATCCTTTGCCCACTTTTTGATGAGGTTGTTTGTTTTTCTTGTAAACTTGTTTAAGTTCCTTGTAGATTCTGGATTTTAGACCTTTGTCAGATGGGTAGATTGCAAAAATTCTCACCCATTCTGTAGGTTGTGTGTTCTCTCTGATGATAGTTTATTTTGCTGTGCAGGAGCTATTTAGTTTAATTAGATCCCATTTGTCAATTTTGGCTTTTGTTGTGATAGTTTTTGGCATTTTTGTCATGAAGTCTTTGCCCATGTCTATGTCCTGAAAGTTATTGCCTAGGTTTTCTTCTAGGGTTTTTATGATTTTGGGTTTCACATTTAAGTCTTTAATCCATCTTGAGTTAACTTTTGTATAAGGTGTAATGAAGGGGTCCACTTTCAGTTTTCTGCATGTGGCTAGCCAGTTTTCCCAGCCCCATTTATTAAATAGGGAATCTTTTCCCCATTGCTTGTTTTTGTCAGGTTTGTCAAAGATCAGATGGTTGTAGATGTGTGGTGTTATTTCTGAGGTCTCAGTTCTGTTCCATTGGTCTATATATCTGTTTTGATACCAGTACCATGCTGTTGTGGTTACAGTTGCCTTGTAGTATAGTTTGAAGTCAGGTAGCGTGATGCCTCCAGCTTTGTTCTTTTGTTTGGGATTGTTTTGGTGATACGGGCTCTTTTTTGGTTCCATATGAAATTTAAAGTAGTTTTTTTTTAAATTTTGTGAAGAAAGTCAAGGGTAGCTTGATGGGAATAGCATTTAATCTATAAATTACTTCGGGCAGCATGGCCGTTTTCATGATATTGATTCTTTCTATCCATGATCATGTAATGATTTTCAATTTGTTTGTGTCCCCTCTTATTTCCTTGAGCAGTGGTTTGTAGTTTCCCTTGAAGAGGTCCTTCACATCCCTTGTAAGTTGTATTCCTAGGTATTTTATTCTCTTTGTTGCAATTGTGAATGGGAGTTCACTCATGATTTGGCTCTCTGCTTGTCTATTATCGGTGTATAAGAATGCTTGTGATTTTTGTCATTGATTTTGTATCTTGAGACTTTGTTAAAGTTGCTTATCAGCTTAAGGAGTTTTTAGGATGAGACACTGAGGTTTTCTAAATATAGAATCACGTCATCTGCAAACAAAGACAATTTGACTTCCTCTCTTCCTATCTGAATGCCTTTATTTCTTTCTTTTGCCTGATTGTCCTGGCCAGAACTTCCAATACTATGTTGAATAGGAGTGGTGAGAGAGGGCGTTCTTGTCTTGTGCCATTTTCAAAGGGAATGCTTCCAGCTTTTGCCCATTCAGTATAATATTGGCTATGGGTTTGTCAAAAATAGCTCTTATTATTTTGAGATATGTTCCATCAATACCTAGTTTATTGAGAGTTTTTAAGATGAAGGATGTTGAATTTTATCGAAGGCCTTTTCTGCATCTATTGAGATAATCATGTGGTTTTTATCATTGGTTCTGTTTATGTGATGGATTATGTTTATTGATTTGCATATGTTGAACCAGCCTTGCATCCCAGGGATGAAGCAATTTGATCATGGTGGATAAGCTTTTTGATGTGCTGCTAGATTTGGTTTTTACTAACTTTACTGAGGTATAATTGAATAAAAATTGTATATATTTAAGGTATAAAAAGTGATGTTTTGATATATATATTTATAGTGAGATATTCATCACAGTGAAGCTAATTCACATATTCATTAGCTCACATACTTGCCATTTCAGGTATAAAATAAAATATTTTTACCTACAGCCACACTACTGTACACTAGGTCTGCAGAGCTTATTTACCTTGCATACCTGATCTTGGCCAAAGTGAATGTTTTAGGTCTTCATCTCCTTTACCCTGTCACCCCAGAAGAATCACAGTCAATGGATTTTGTCTCTTAGCCAAGTCTCCAAAGCACTCTAGGTACACAGTCTCAGAAGTTGGGATCCGTCCTGGAAGTCTACATCGTTAGCTCATCAGAGGTATTTCTAGCACTCCCATGCTGGTAGGAGGTCCCACAAAGGTAATCCAGGTCCCAGACTTTTCTATTTCTCTCAGAGCCAGTATAAATCAGTCCTTCCATTAGTGAATGCTTGGGTTGCATCATCAGTTCAGGGCCAAAAGCACCAGCCATCTGCCTATCATGACTTCTATGAATGTACACATTTTTCTACTTTCAGTCCGTCTTACATTCTTCTGATTTCCCTGAAAACACAAATGTTTATTTCCTTTAGATGCTTAATTTTGGCCTCATAAAGCATAGAAGATTGTTTTAACCCATTAGATAACTCAGAGATTATGGATTATGCAAAGTCATATGTGCCTGTTGCATAGTGTCTCAATCCTAAACTTTGTCCTTACTTAATTTTCCTGATAACATTTTTATCAGGAAGTCAAATTGTCTAAATGTTGCATAAGGTATGGTCTGTATTTTACATGGAATTACTTAATTCCATTTTGCTCTTTCAATGAAATTTCAGCAGGAGGCCAGATATGAATTTGATTTATTTGATACGAAGGAATTAGTCTCTTCAAATGAGGATATGATGCATTCTGAAAAGTTTTTGATGTGTCCTCTTGAAAACCAGAACAAGGCAAACATGCCATATCTCACCACTCCTATTCAAAATAGTAATGAAAGTCCTAGCCAGAGAAATATGGCAAGAGAAATAAAGTAAAGGTATCTAGATAGGAAAAGTGGAAGTTAAACTATCTCTGTGTGTGAAGAAGATTTTACACCCAGAAAACCTCATTGTCTCTACCCAAAAACTCCTTGATCTGATTAGCAACTTCAGCAAAGTTTCAGGATACAAAATTATTGTACAAAAATCAGTAGCATTCCTATACACCAACAACATCCAAGTTGAGAGCCAAATCAATAATGTAATCCTTTTCACAATAGCCACAAAAAACAACAAAATACCTAGGAATACAGCCAACCAGGGAGGTGAAAGATCTCTGCAACAAGAATTGCAAAACACTGCTCAAAGAAATTAAAGATGACACAAACAAATTGAAACATATTTTATGCTCATGGGTAGAAAGAATCAATATTGTTAAAATGGCCATACTCCCTAAAGCAATTTACAGATTCAGTATCACTCCTATCAAACTACCAATGACAGCCTTCACAGAATGAGAAAAAAAATGTTTTACAATTCATATGGAACCAAAAAAGAGCCTGAATGGCCAAGGCAATCCTAAGCAAAAATAACAAAGCTGAAGACATCACATTATCTGACTTCAAACTACATTACAGGCTGCAATAACCAAAACCGCATGGTACTGGTACAAAAACAGACACACAGACCAATGGAACAGAATACAGAGCCCAGAAATAATGTTGCACACCTACAACATGTGATCTTCAGCAAAGTTGATGAAAATAGGCAGTGGGGAAAAGACTCCTGATTTAATAAATGGTGCTGAGATAACTGGCTAGTCATTTGCAGAAGATTGAAACTGGACCCCTTCCTTACATGGTATACAAAAATCAACTCAAGATGGATCAAAAACTTACATGTAAAACCTAAGGCTATAAAAACGCTGGCAGAC
Organism: Homo sapiens; assembly: GCF_000001405.40. NCBI lineage: Eukaryota > Metazoa > Chordata > Mammalia > Primates > Hominidae > Homo > Homo sapiens. Next base: position 49,142 of record NW_003871093.1, read on the forward strand.
AACCTAGGCAATACCATTCTAAACATAGGACCAGGCAAGGATTTTATGATGAAGTCACCAAAAGTAATTGTAAAAAGAGAAAAAATTGACAAATGGGACCTAATTAAACTTAAGAGCTTCTGCACAGCAAAAGAAACTATCAACAGAGTAAACAGACAACCTACAGAATGGGAGAGAATATTTGCAAGCTATCTATCCAACAAAGGTCTAATATCCAGAATCTGTAAGGAAGTTAAACAAATTTACAAGCAAAAACCAAACAATCTCATTAGAAAGTGGTCAAAGGACACGAACAGACACTTTTCAAAAGAAGACATTCAAGCGGCCAAAAAGGATATGAACAAATGATCAACATCACTGATGATTAGAGAAATGCAAGTTAAAACCACAATGAGATGCCCTCTGACACAAGTCAGAATAGCTCTTATTAAAGTCAAAAAATAAAAGATGCTGGCAAGTTTTTGTAGAAAAAGAAACACTTATACACTGTTGGTGGAATTGCACATTAGTTTAACCATTATGGAAAGCAGTTTTGGGATCTCTCAAAGAACTTAGAATTAATATTTGACCCAGCAATTCAATTATTGGGTATATACCCAAATGCATATAAATTGTTCTACCATAAAGACACATGCATGCGTATGTTCATTGCAGCACTACTCACAATAGCAAAGACATAGAGTCAACTTAAAATGTACATCAAAAGTAGACTGGATAAAGAAAATGTGTTTCATATACACCATGGAATACTATACAGAAAAAAAAGGAAAAAAAGAACAAGATGATGTCCTTTGCAGCAACACAGATGGAGCCGGAGGCCATTATCCCAAGGGAACTAACACAGGAACAGAAAACCAAATAACACATGTTCTCACATAAGAGTGGGGGCCAAACATTGAATACATATGAACACAAAGAAGGGAACAACAGACACTGGAACTTACCTGTGGGTGGACTGTGGGAGGAGAATGAGAATCAAAAAACTGCCTATCAGGTATTATGCTTATTACCTGGGTGAAGAACTAATCTGTACACCAAACCCTGCAACACACAATTTAACTATAAAATAACCCGGCACACGTACCCCTGAACCTTAAAAAAAGGTTAAAAAATTTCTTTGATGCACGTGAATTGAATGATTGGCTGGTATAGGCCAATAGGATCCCTGCATTCATGACAGCTGCTAAATGCAGACCCTGCTGCTGTATCATGTAGCTGTTGCTCACTGACGGCTGGGCAATTAATTTGGGAAGACTTTTGTGAACTGAAATGTTATCTCTTGCCAAATACTAGAGATTATTATTTCCATTGTTAAATAAACTCAAGTGCATAACTTGCTAGTGCTGAATCCCAATGTCATTACTACTTTATTGAGAGTTAAATGTAAGTGTCTTTGGACAGAAAGAGAAGACGCAACCTTGCATCAGAGTCTGTCCACTATTAGCTACATAACATCACACATTAAAACTTTCCCAGTTGGAAAATGGAGGCAATAATACATGACTGTCTGTTTTGAGAATCAAATTGGGTAATACATATGGTATGTGATATATGTGTAAATCCCATATCAGGAATGTTTTCAAATAAAACAAATCACCATATGGTATGAATAATAGTTCCAAATTTATTTATTAAGAAATATATATGTAAGATCCCTGGTTATAGGGAGATAACCCAAAGTGATCATTAAAAGAAGGAAGCAGGATACAAGAATCATGAGTATATTGAAAAGAAAACATAGTTGTGAAGATTCTTAATCATTTGCAGCAACTTAAGTTTCTTAAGTGAAGAGAATGAAGCTCTTGACTTTTGAGTCAAAGCTGAGACCATGACTCAAAATTGAGAACACATGAAGCTGGCACATGATTCACAAGGTATAAGAAAAAGAGAATCAGGATGAAGTATTCTGCCCTCCCTCAAGCTGATTCACAAGATTTTAAATATGCAGAGAATTCATAAAAATTTGGGTGAGAACATGGTTGCTGTCAGCAGTAAGGTAAATTAGTCCTCCAAAAGATAAGTCAGTTGAGCAGAAGGTTGTTGTGTGAAGATGGTTGTTCTCTTGGGACTTGATCAGCAGCAAGAAGGCTGGCAGCAGCTGGACACACAGGTGGGCTGGAAGCAAGTGGTCCTGCAGCAGGTGGTCTCACAGCAGGCGGGGCGGCAGCAGGGCTGGCAGCAGCTGGATCCACAGCTCTGGTTGAGGCAACCAGGCAGGCAGACAGTCGTCGGGTAGTAGCAGGTTCTTCTGCAGTACACAGGTGCACAGGAGCTGCTCTGGCCACAGCTGGACCCACAGCTGGTTTGGCCACAGCAGCTGGACCCACAGCAGATGGGCTGGCAGCAGGTTGTGCTGCAGCAGGAAGGCTGGCAGCAGCTGGTCAGACAGGTGGGCTGGCAGCAGGTGGTCCTGCAGCAGGTGTTTTGACAGCAAGCTGGGCGGCAGCAAGGCTGGCAGCAGCTAGACACACAGCAGGAGGGCTGGCAGCAGGGTGTGCTGCTGCAGGTGGTCACAGTGGTGGGCTTCCAGCAGGTGGTCCTGCAGCAGGTAGGCTGACAGCAAGGGGAGCAACAGTGGGTCATGGTGTCAGGGGTGGAGGGTGGGTTTCTGTTCAGAGGTGAGTTTCCCAGAATCTGATGACCCCTTGCAATCTGGACCTTTTATACACCTGGCTTCCAAAGTTTCCACCAATCAGCAGGACTTTTCCTTGTTGCTGTTTACACTGTTTTCCACAGTCCCTTTGGGATTGTCAAAGGGGAAATTGTTTCTGAAAACTTATGAATCTTTTGAAAGTAAGGGTTTAATCTGTTTCTTAATTGTGAATTACTCATAGAAACTTCCTTTCAGATAAAAGGAAGCCCATCTCATCATCAGCATCATTCCTGCTCTGACCATCATCTAGTCATGTGATAGTTCTTGGTGATCTGGGAAGCTCAGGAAATTCTCTCTGCCCAGCCTCACAGTTGGCTGTATGTAGACTGGGAAGTGTCTGTGGGGAGAAGCATGATGCTGATATATTTACGGTGACAAAATGAATCCATGCCTGGGCCCAAGACAATTCACCCACCAAATTCTGACTCAAGACTAACAGGCATCTCTGTGCAATCCTCACCACCTGTGTCTTTCAGTTATTTGAACGTCACTTGGGAAGAGGGTGTCTGTCACAGTGTGTTCCATGTGGCAGAGCCGATCGAGAGCAGGTGGATGCAGAGAAATCCACTGGGATTTAGACAGCATCAAGCAATCTACGCCCAGGGGTGAGCATTCATTCTCACTTGTCTGCGAGTGTGGGGATTACCGGGATGAGAATGTAGAACTTTCTATGACATAACTGCTTGAGATTCAGGCCAACGTGCATAAGCTGTGGCTCTAGCCATAACCCTGGTTACTAGCACAGTCAGTATCATTTCTTCTCTTTCTTTCTTAGACGGAGTCTTTCTCTGTCGCCTAGACTGGAGTGCAGTGGCGTGATCTCGGCTCACTGCAACGTCTGATTCCTCGATTCAGGGGATTCACCTGCCTCAGCCTCCCGAGTAGCTGCCACTACAGATGCCGGCCACCATGCCCGGCTAATTTTTGTATTTTTAGTAGAGAGAGGGTTTCACCATATTTGTCAGGCTGGTCTCGAACTCCTGACCTTGTGAGCTGCCTGCCTCGGCCTCCCAAAGTGCTGATATTACAGGCATGAGCCACCATCCACAGCCTCTCCTTCTATTTAATGAATTAATTAGATGAGTTGAGATGACACCTGATTCATCGTGGAGTTCTAACATGTTTAAAACATTTTCTAGGAATTACCATTCATTTCAGAGGAATGCAAATTATTAATTTCCAACTTGATACATTATTATATTGTAAATACATCTATGTCCCCATTACATCTATGTTAGAAAATAGAAATTAATCCCATTCTCTCCCAATTATATCCTCTTACTCATTCCCAAAGACAGCTAATCACTCTGTCAAGTTGTAATCCTATAGCTAACTTTTGGCTTTAAAAAATATTCATGTAAATAAAAATTACAGTATTTGCTTCTCTATTTCTTTAGCATAATCAAAAGTAATCGTTATTGCATAGTCACTTTGGACTCTTCATGTCAGGAGAGCAGCAGACAGAGAAAGGAGTTACTATTTGGTGAGGGGTAATTATCCTCAAGCCACATAGTGTAGGAGAATGTATCTATAGCTCAGGTGATTTACTGAGTATATTAACTTACTAGCAGTGCCATGGTAAATTACTGCAAACCAAGTGGCTTAAATTTATTTTTTCACAGTTCCAAAGGCCTCTAGTCTGGAATTAAGCTGTTGGCAATGTTGTTTTCATCTGAAGCCTGCGAGGGAAGTATCTGTTCCAGGTCTCTCTCCTTGACTTGTAGATGTCTATCATTTCCATGTGTGTTTGACATAAGTTTTCTACTATATGCATACTGTCTCTGAATTTCCCCCTTGTGTATAGATATCAGTCATATTTAATCAGAAGCCTAATTGTTTCCGATATGACCTTTTCTTATCACATAACATTTTAAATGATTCTATTTGAACATGAATTTTGGAGGACACAAATTAACCCATAACACTGCAGAATCTCATAGTGTGTCCATGCCCAGTGATAACCACAAAACAGTAAAAACAGTAATCACAGCGGACAGTGGTATAGTAACCAGGGGCTCAGACCCTTCAGGAAGGATGCTCTGAGCTACTCCCTCAGGCAGTTATCTAGACAAACAAGAGTGCTGGCCAGGGGTGAAGGGAGAATAGGACTGGTGGTAATTAATGGAGCTTATGAATCTCAGGTGCACTGTATTATAGCAGCAGTAAGTGTAGCTTATTTCATTGGCCTTCATTTTATATCTCACTTCCTCCCCCAGCTTTTCGTTTCCTTCTTCATTTTTCTTTCTTTCTTTTTCTTCAATCACCCCTTCTCCTTCCTTCCTTCATGTTTTTTTTTGGTTCCTTTATCCCTTCCCTTCCCTTTCCTTTTCCTTCCTTTCTTCCTCCCTTCTCTTTTTCTTTTTTGTTTCTTTTCTCTTTCCTCCTCTCATCTTCTGTTCCTTCTCTTCCTCTCCTCTGCTTCTTCCTTCTTTTAGAGCTTGTGGCTCTCCATCACATTTAAACAGCAAAGATTTGACTTGAGTGGAGCTAATTGTAGATCTCAGACAAGTTTTCGTAAGTGCGCCCATATATCTTGCATGTTAGTGTGCTTGGATTAATTTCCATCTGTCAGAGTCCGCATCTCTGTGGCCAAGGGCTCTTGTATTGCAGCTGTAGAAAGTCATGCCACCTGTGAATGCAACACAGAGAAAAACACTCAACCAATGATTCTGGAGAGCTGATTTATAAAGACTCTAGCTTCCTCATTCCTGAAGTAGGATAATTCTAGCTGTGTGTTTTTCATCATTTCTGATAGTTTTCCCTTTAGTTTAAGCTTTAGTTGGTGACTGTGATACTGACTTTATAGTGTACCCTTTTCTGTATCACTTCCCCAATTCCTACCGGTGTGATCTGCACTTCCCAGTAAACTAGTTTCACTGGAATCTTTTCTTCAAAGTCTTTTCGGGAGAAACTAATCTATGACATTATGTTAACTCCCTCAGCCTCAATTTTCTTATCTCTACGCTGGGAATATTAATACCTATTCTGAAAGTTTGTTAAAGAGTTAATAATAATGTACACAAAGTGTTTAGCAAATACCCATCCTATAGCAGGCAATCCAGAACATATTAGTGTTTCTTGTTCAGAAAATTACCAATTTTAATGTTGAAGATAGGAATATTTTTGTAATAATTAACTAGATCAACTAAATACTTTTTTTCCTAGCTGTATTGAGGTATAATTGACAAATAAAAGTTGTATCTATTTCAGGTATACAAGGTGATGTTCTGATATATATATTCCTTGTGAATAATATGTTTATTAGGTCACGAAGCTACCATTTCCTTTTAATTTTTGTGGTGTGAACATTTAAGATCTACCTTCTTGGTAAATTTCAGGTATATGATAAAGTGTTATTAACTATAGTCACATTACTGTACAGTAGACATGCTGAACTTATTCATCTTTCATAAATGATGCTAGTCAAAGAGAATGTCCTAGTTTTCATCTCCTTTACTTCAACCCTGAACGATGATCACAGTAAGTGGCCGTTGTCTCTTAGCCAAGTCTTCAGAGCATTCTAGATTCACAGTCTCAGAAGTTGGCATCTGTCATGGAAATCTACATTTTTAGCTGATCAGAGGTAATTCTAGCACTCCAGTGCTGGTAGGAGGTCCGAAGAAGGTGACCCAGGTCCCCAACTTTTATATTTCTCTCAGAGCCTGTATCAATCAATCTTTCCATGGGTGAATGCTTAGCTTACATCGGTTCAGGACCCAAAGCACTAACCTCTGTCTATTATGACTTCTATGAATGCACAAGTTCTACTTTGCTCCTTTCTTACATTCTTCTGATTTCCCTGGAAACACAAGTTTTTCATTTCTTTGAATGCTTCCTATTGGCCTCACAAAATGCAGAAGGCTGTTTCATTCCCTTACTTGGCTCAGAGATTATGGATTGTGCCAAGTCTTACATGCCCATTGTGTAGTTTCTCAATTCTCAGCTTTGTTCTTACATAATTTCCCTCATAACATTACAATTAGGGGACAAATTGTCTTAATGTGGCAAAATGTATGGTCTGCATTTTACAAGAAATAACTTAGTTTCATTTACTTCATCAATAGGTATTCAGGAGATGAAGGCTGTATAAGTATTTTATTTACATGATATTGACAACAAGTTTCTTCAGATGAGACTCTCTCTCATGAGTCCACAATAAATTCCCAAGCTTTTTTTGATGTAGATGAATTGAATGAGTGGCTGGTCAGAGGCTGAGACAAAAAGAGATCCCTGCATTCAGGGCAGCCATTAAATGCAGTCCCTGCTGCCATATCACGCAGCTGTTTCTCACTGAGGTGTGGGAAATTGGGAATTTTTTGTAAACAAAAACGTTATCTGCAAATATAAGAGATTATTTGTCCTATTGTTAAAAAAACTCAAGTATATGACTTGCTAATACTTACTTCCAATGTCATTTCTACTATATTGAGAGTTAAATGTAAGTGTCCTTGGGCAGAAAGAGAGGACCTCAGCTTGGACAAGAGTCTGCCCTTTACTAGCTACATAACATCACACATTAAATTGTTCTCAGCTGAAAAAATGGAGGTAATAACACACGACCATCTGTTTTGAGAATCAAATTGGATAATACCTATGGTATGTGATATGTGTGTAAATCTCATATCAGGAATGCTTTCATATAAAACAAAACACCATATGAGATGAGGATGGTTCAGAGTTTATTCAGAAACATATAGCTAAGAATCTCTGCTGGTAGCAGAAACATAACCCAAAGTTATGAAAAGAAGAAAGAAGGATACAAGAACCATGAGGAGGATATTGAAAACAAAAATATGATTGCAAAGATTATTGATCAGTTGCAGAAACCTAAATTCCTTAGAAGCAGAGAATGAAGCTCTTGACTTTTGAGTCAAAGCTGAGACCATGACTCAAAATTGAGAACACACGAAGCTGGCACATGATCCACAAAGTGTAAGGAAAAAGAGAATCAGGATGAAGTATTCTGCCCTCCCTCAAGCAGATTCCCAAGATTTTAAACAGGTAGAGAATTCATAAAAATTTGGGTGAGAGCATGGTGGCTGTCAGCAGCAAATTAAATTAGTCCCCCAAAAGATAAGTCAGTTGAGCAGAAAGTTGTTGTGTGAGGATGGTGGTTCTCTTGGGACTTGATCAGCAGCAAAAAGGCTGACAGCAGCTGGACACACAGGTGGGCTGGAAGCAAGTGGTCTCACAGCAGGCTGGGCGGCAGCAGGGCTGGCAGCAGTTGGAGCCACAGCTCTGGTTTAGGCAACCAGGCAGGCAGACAGTTGTGGGGTAGTAGCAGGTTCTTCTGCAGTACACAGGTGCACAGGAGCTGCTCTGGTCACAGCTGGACCCACAGCAGGTGGGCTGGCAGCAGGGTGTGCTGCAGCAGGAAGGCTGGCAGCAGCTGGTCACACAGGTGGGCTGGCAGCAGGTGTTTTGACAGCAAGTTGGGCGGCAGCAAGGCTGGCAGCAGCTGGAAACACAGCAGGAGGGCTGGCAGCAGGGTGTGCTGCTGCAGGTGGTCACAGTGGTGGGCTTCCAGCAGGTGGTCCTGCAGCAGGTGGTCCTGCAGCATGTAGGCTGACAGCAAGGGGAGCAACAGTGGGTCATGGTGTCAGGGGTAGAGGGTGGGCTTCTGTTCAGAGGTGAGTTTCCCAGAATCTGATGACCCCTTGCAATCTGGACCTTTTATACACCTGGCCTCCAAAGTTTCCACCAATCAGCAGGACTTTTCCTTGTTTCCGTTTACATTGTTTTCCCAGTCCGTTTGTGATTCTCAAAGGGTAGTTGTTTCCTTAAGGTTAAACAGATTAAGGTTTAATCTGTTTCTTAATTGTGAATTACTCATAGACACTTTGTTTCAGATAAAAGGAAGGCAATCTCATCATCAGCATCATTCCTGTTCTGACCATCATCTGGTCATGTGATAGTTCCTGTTGATCTGGGAGGCTCAGGAAGTTCTCTCTGGCCAGCCTCATGTTTGGCTGTATGTAGACTGGGAAGTGTCTGTGGGGAGAAGCATGATGCTGATATATTTACAGTGACAAAATGAATCCATGCCTGGGCCCAAGACTAGTCACCCACCAAATTCTGACTCAAGACTAGCAGGCATCTCTCTGTGCAACCCACACCACCTGTCTTTCAGTTCTTTGAACATCACTTGGGAAGAGGGTGTTTGTCACAGTGTGTTCCATGTGGCAGAGCAGATCGAGAGCAGGTGGATGCAGATAAATCCACTGGGATTTAGACAGCATCAAGTAATCTATGCCCTGAGTGACCATTCATTCTGACTTGTCTGTGAGCGTGGCGATTCCAGAATGAGAATGTAGGACTCTCTATGGCATAAATGCTTGAGATTCAGGCCAACCAGCATGTGCTGTGGCTCTAGTCGCAACCCGGTTACTAGCACAGTAAGCAGCATGTCTTCTCTCTCTCTCTCTATTTCTTTTTAATGAAGGAATTAGATGAGTTGAGATGATGCCTGATTCATCATGGAGTTCTAACATGTTTAAAACATTTTCTAGGTATACCATTCATTTGAGAAGAATGCAAATTATTAATTTTCAACTTGATATAGTATTATATTGTAAATACATCTGTGTCCCCATTACATCTATGTTAGGAAATAGAAATTAATTCCATTCTCTCCCAATTATATGCTCTTACTCATTCCCAAAGACAGCTAATCACTCTATCAGTTGTAATCCTGTAGGTAATTTTTGGTTTTTTAAAGTTTTCATGTGAATAAAAAGTATAGTATTTGCTTCTCTATTTCTTTGGCATAAACAAAAGTAATCTTTATCGCCTAGTCATTTTGGACTCTTCATATAAGCAAAGCAGCAGACAGAGAAAGTAGTTACTATTTGGTGAGGGATAATTACCCTCAAGCCATATAGTGTAGCAGAATATATCTATAGCTCAGGAGATTTACTGAGTATATTAATTTACTAGCACTGCCCTGATGAATTACTGAAAAAAAGTGGCTTAAATTTATTTATCAAAGTTCTGAAGGCCTCTTTTCTGAAATTAAGGTGTTGGCAATGTTGTTTTCATCTGAAGACTGCGAGGGAAGTATCTGTTCCACGTCTCTCTCCCTGACGTGTCAAAGTCTATCATCTCCAAGTGTGTTTGACATAATTTTTCTATTATATCCATACTGTCTCTGAATTTCTCCCTTGTGAATAGACACAGTCATATTTAATCAGAGGCCTAATTGTTTCCAATATGACCTTGTCTTATCAGATAACACTTTAGATGATTCTATTTGAATATGAATTTTGAGGGACGCAAATGAACCCATAACACTGCAGAATCTCACAGTGTGTCCATGCCTAGTGATAACCACAAATGAGTAAAAACAACAATCACGGTGGACAATGGTATAGTAACCAGGGGCTCAGACCCTTCAGGAAGGATGCTCTGAGCTACTCTATCAGCAGTTATCTAGACCAACAAGAGTGCTGGCCAGGGGTGAAGGGAGAATAGAACTCTTGGTAATTAACGGAGTTTATGAAACTTAGGTGCACTGTATTATAGCAGAAGTAAGTGTAGATTATTTAATTGGCCTTCGTTTTATATCTCACTTCCTCTCCTTTCTTTTCCTTTCCTTCCTCTTTCTTCTTTCTTTCTTTCTTTCTTTCTTTTCTTTCTTTCTTTTCCTTCCTTCCTTCCTTTTTTCCTCCCTTCCTCCCTCCCTTCCCTTCCCTTCTCTCTCCCTTTCTCTCTCTTTCTTTCTTTCTCTTTCTTTCTTTCTTTTTATCTTTCTTTCTTTCTTTTTTCCTTCCTTCCTTCCTTCCCCTCCCTCAGTTCCTCCCCGCTCCCTCCTTTCCCTCCCTCCCTCCTTCCTGTCCTTCCTTCCTTCCTTCTTTCCTTCCTTCCTTCTCTCTGTCTTTCTGTTTTTCTTTCCTTCTTTTCTCTTTCCTTCTCCTCTCATCTTCTGTCCCTTCTCTTCCTCTGCTTCCTCTCTTCCTCTTCTTCCTTCTCCTAGAGGTTGTGGCTGCCCATCCTATTTAAGTAGCAAATATTTGACTTGAGTGGAGCTAATTGTAGATTGTAGACAAGTTTTCATGACTGCACCCATATATCTTGGATGTTACTGTGCTTGGATCAATTTCCATCTGTCAAAATCTGCATCTCTGTGCCTAAGGGCTCTTGTATTGCAGCTGTAGAAAGTCATGCCACCTGTGAATGCAACACAGAGAAAAACACTCAACCAATGATTCTGGAGAGCTGATTTATAAAGACTTTAGCTTCCTCATTCCTGAAGTAGGGTAATTCTAGCTGTGTGTTTTTCATCATTTCTGATAGTTTTCCCTTTAGTTTAAGCTTTAGTTGGTGACTGTGATACTGACTTAATAGTGTGCCTTCTTCTGTATCACTTCCCCAGTCCCTACCGGTGTGATCTGCACTTCTCAGTAAACTAGTTTCCCTGGAATATTTTCTTCAAAGTCTCTTCTGGGAGAAACTAATCTATGACAATACGTTAACTCTCTCAGCCTCAAATTTCTCATCTCTACAAGGGGAACATTAATACCTATTTTGAAAGTTTGTTAAATAGTTAATAATAATGTACACAAAGCATTTATCCAGTACCCATCATAGAGCAGGCAACACAGAATTAGTGTTTTTTGTTCAGAAAATTCCCAAGTTTTATGTTGAAGATAAGAATATTTTTGTAATAATTAAATAGATCAACTAAATACGTTTTTTTCTAGCTGTATTGAGGTATAATTGACAAACAAAAATTGTGTACATTTCAGGTATAGAAGGTGATGCTCTGATATATATATTGATTGTGAATAACATATTTATTAGGTCACTTAGTTACCATTTCCTTTTTATTTTTCTGGTGTGAACATTTAAGATCTACCTTCTCAGTAAATTTCAGGTATATGATAAAGTGTTTTTAACTATAGTCATATTACTGTACATTAGACCTACTGAACTTATTCATCTTTCATAACTGATGCTAGTCAAAGAGAATGTCCTAGTTTTCATCTCCTTTACTTCATCCCTGAACGATGATGACAGTAAGTGGCTGTTGTCTCTTAGCCAAGTCTTCAGAGCATTCTAGATTCACAGTCTCAGAAGTGGCATCTGTCATGGAAATCTACATTGTTAGCTCATCAGAGGTATTTCTACCACTCCCCTGCTTGTAGGAGGCCCCAAGAAGGTGACCTAGGTCCCCAATCTTTGTATTTCTCACAGATCCAGTATCAATCAACCTTCCGTGGGTGAATGCTTAGCTTGAATCAGTTCAGGACCCGAAGCAAAAACCTCTGTCTATCATGACTTCTGTTTCTTTTTTTTTTCTTTCTTTTTTTTTTTCTTTCACTTTAAGTTCTAGGGTACATGTGCACAATGTGCAGGTTTGTTACATATGTATACGTGCACCATAATGGTGTGCTGCACCCATTAACTCGTTATTTACATTAGATATATCTCCTAATGCTATCCCTCCCCACTCCCCTCACCCCATAATAGGCCCCGGTGTGTGATGTTCCCCTTCCTGCGTCCAACGGTTCTCATTGTTCAATTGCCACCTATGACTGAGAATGTGTGGTGTTTGGTTTTTTGTCCTTGCGATAGTTTGCTGAGAATGATGGTTTCCAGCTTCATCCATGTCCCTACAAAGGACATGAACTCATCCTTTTTTATGGCTGCATAGTATTCTGTGGTGTATATGTGTCACATTTTCTTAATCCCATCTATCATTGATGGACATTTGGGTTGGTTCCAAGTCTTTGCTATTGTGAATAGTGCTGCAATAAACATACGTGTGCATGTGTCTTTATAGCAGCATGATTTATAATCCTTTGGGTATATACCCAGTAATGGGATGGCTGGGTCAAATGGTATTTCTAGTTGTAGATCCTTGAGGAATCACCACACCGTCTTCCACAATGGTTAAACTAGTTTACAGTCCCACCAACAGTGTAAAAGTGTTCCTATTTCTCCACATCCTCTCCAGCACCTGTTGTTTCCTGACTTTTTAATGATAGCCATTCTAACTGGTGTGAGATGGTATCTCATTGTGGTTTTGATTTGCATTTCTCTGATGGCCAGTGATGATGAGCATTTTTTCATGTGTCTTTTGGCTGCATAAATGTCTTCTTTTGAGAAGTGTCTGTTTATATCCTTCATCCAGTTTTTGATGGGATGGTTTGTTTTTTTCTTGTAAATTTGTTTGAGTTCTTTGTAGATTCTGGATATTTGCCCTTTGTCAGATGAGTAGATTTCAAAAATTTTCTCCCATTCTGTAGGCTGCCTGTTCACTCTGATGGTAGTTTCTTTTGCTGTGCAGAAGTTCTTTAGTTTAATTAGATCCCATTTGTCAATTTTGGCTTTTATTGCCATTGCTTTTGGTGTTTTAGACATGAAGTCCTTGCCCATGCCTATGTCCTGAATGGTATTGCCTAGGTTTTCTTCTAGGGTTTTTATGGTTTTAGGTCTAACATTTAAGTCTTTAATCCATCTTAAATTAATTTTTGTATAAGGTGTAAGGAAGGGATCCAGTTTCAGCTTTCTACGTATGACTAGCCAGTTTTCCCAGCACCATTTATTAAATAGGGAATCCTTTCCCCATTTCTTGCTTTTGTCAGGTTTGTCAAAGATCAGATGGTTGTAGATGTGTGGTATTATTTCTGAGGGCTCTGTTCTGTTCCATTGGTCTATACCTCTGTTTTGGTACCAGTACCATGATGTTTTTGTTACTATAGCCTTTTAGTATAGTTTTAAGTTAGGTAGCATGATGACTCCAGCTTTGTTCTTTTGGCTTAGGAGTGTCTTGGCAATGCAGGCCCTTTTTTGGTTCCATATGAACTTTAAAGTAGTTTTTTCCAATTCTGTGAAGAAAGTCATTGGTAGCTTAATGGGAATGGCATTGAATCTATGAATTACCCTGGGCAGTATGGCCATTTTCATGATATTGATTCTTCCTATCCATGAGCATGGGATGTTCTTCCATTTGTTTGTGTCCTCTTTTATTTCATTGAGCAGAGGTTTGTAGTTCTCCTTGAAGAGGTCCTTCACGTCCCTTGTAAGTTGGATTCCTAGGTATTTTATTCTCTTTGAAGCAATTGTGAATGGGAGTTCCTTCATGATTTGGCTCTCTCTTTGTCTGTTATTGGTGTATAACAATGCTTGTGATTTTTGCACTTTGATTTTATATCCTGAGACTTTGCTGAAGTTGCTTATCAGCTTAAGGAGATTTTGGGCTGAGATGATGGGGTTTTCTAAATATACAATCATGTCACCTGCAAACAGGGACAATTTGACTTCCTCTTTTCCTAATTGAATACCATTTATTTCTTTCTCCTGCCTGATTGCCCTGGCCAGAACTTCCAACACTGTTGAATAGGAGTGGTGAGAGAGGGCATCCCTGTCTTGTGCCGGTTTTCAAAGGGAATGCTTCCAGTTTTTGCCCATTCAGTATGATATTGGCTGTGGGTTTGTCATAAATAGCTCTTATTATTTTGAGATCGTCCCATCAATACCTAATTTATTGAGAGTTTTTAGCATGAGGAGTTGTTGAATTTTGTCAAAGGCCTTTTCTGCATCTATTGAGATATCACGTGGTTTTGTCTTTGGTTCTGCTTATATGCTGGATTATGTTTATTGATTTGCATATGTTGAACCAGCCTTGCATCCCAGGGATGAAGCCCACTTTATCATGTTGGATCAGCTTTTTGATGTGCTGCTGAATTCAGTTTGCCAGTATTTTAATGAGGATTTTTGCATCAATGTTCATCAGGGATATTGGTCGAAAATTCTCTTTTTTTGTTGTGTCTCTGCCAGGCTTTGGTATCAGGATGATGCTGGCCTCATAAAATGAGTTAGGGAGGAGTCCCTCTTTTTCTATTGATTATAATAGTTTCAGAAGAAATGGTACCAGCTCCTCCTTGTACCTCTGGTAGAATTTGGCTGTGAATCCGTCTGCTCCTGGACTTTTTTTTGGTTGGTAGGCTATTAATTATTGCCTCAATTTCAGAGCCTGTTATTGGTCTATTCAGGGATTCAGCTTCTTCCTGGTTTAGTCTTTATTCATTTCTTCAAGATTTTCTAGTTTATTTGCATAGAGGTGTTTATAGTATTCTCTGATGGTAGTCTGTATTTCTGTGGGATTGGTGGTGATATCCCATTTATCATTTTTTATTGCGTCTATTTGATTCTTCTCTCTTTTCTTCTTTATTAGTCTTGCTAACGGTCTATCAATTTTGTTGATCTTTTCAAAAAACCAGCGACTGGATTCATTGATTTTTTGAAGGGTTTTTCATGTCTCTATTTCCTTCAGTTCTGCTCTGATCTTAGTTATTTCTTGCCTTCTGCTAGCTTTTGAATGTGATTGCTCTTGCTTCTCTAGTTCTTTTAATTGTGATGTTAGGGTGTCAATTTTAGATCTTTCCTGCTTTGTCTTGTGGGCATTTAGTGCTATAAATTTCCCTCTACACACTGCTTTAAATGTGTCCCAGAGATTCTGGTATGTTGTGTCTTTGTTCTCATTTGTTTCAAAGAATATCTTTATTTCTGCCTTCATTTTGTTATGTACCCAGTAGTCATTCAGGAGCAGGTTGTTCAGTTTTCATGTAACTGAGTGGTTTTGAGTGAGTTTCTAAATCCTCAGTTCTAGTTTGATTGCACCGTTGTCTGAGAGACAGTTTGTTATAATTTCTCTTCTCTTACATTTGCTGAGGAGTGCTTTACTTCCAACTATGTGGTCAATTTTGGAATAAGTGTGATGTGGTGCTGAGAAGAATGTATATTCTGTTGATTTGGGGTGGAGAGCTCTGTAGATGTCTATGAGGTCCGTTTGGCGTAGAGCTGAGTTCAATTTCTAGATATCCTTGTTAACTTCCTGTCTCGTTGATCTGTCTAATGTTGACAGTGGGGTGTTACATTCTCCCATTATTATTGTGTGGGAGTCTAAGTCTCTTTGTAGGTCTCTAAGGACTTGCTTTATGAATCTGGGTGCTCCTGTATTGGGTGCTTATATATTTAGGATAGTTAGCTATTCTTGTTGAGTTGATCCCTTTACCATTATGCAATGGCCTTCTTTGTCTCTTTTTATCTTTGTTGATTTAAAGTCAGTTTTATCACAGACTACAATTGCAAACCCTCCTTTTTTTTTTCCATTTGCTTGGTAGATCTTCCTCCATCCCTTTATTTTGAGCATATGTGTGTCTCTGTATGGGAGATGGGTCTCCTGAATACAGCACACTGATGGGTCTTGACTCTTTATCCAATTTGCCAGTCTGTGTCTTTCAACTGGAGCATTTAGCCCATTTACACTTAAGGTTAATATTGTTATGTGTGAATTTGATCCTGTCATTATGATGTTAGCTGGTTATTTTGCTCGTTAGTTGATGCAGTTTCTTCCTAGCATTGACAGCCTTTACAATTTGGCATGTTTTTGCAGTGGCTGGTACCAGTTGTTCCTTTCTATGTTTAGTGCTTCCTTCAGGAGCTCTTGTAAGGCAGGCCTGGTGGTGACAAAATCTCTCAGCATTTGCCTGTCTGTAAAGTATTTTATTTCTCCTTCACTTATGAAGCTTAGTTTGGCTGGATATGAAATTCTGGGTTGAAAATTCTTTTCTTTAAGAATGTTGAATATTGGCCCCCACTCTCTTCTGGCTTGTAGAGTTTCTGCCGAGAGATCTGCTGTTAGTCTGATGGGCTTCCCTTTGTGGGTAACCCGACGTTTCTCTCTGGCTGCCCTTAACATTTTTTCCTTCATTTCAACTTTGGTGAATCTGACAATTATGTGTCTTGGAGTTGCTCTTCTCGAGGAGTATCTTTGTGGTGTTCTCTGTATTTCCTGAATTTGAATATTCGCCTGTCTTGCTAGGTTGGGGAAGTTCTCCTCGATAATATCCTGCAGAGTGTTTTCCAACTCGGTTTCATTCTCCCCGTCACTTTCAGGTACACCAATCAGATGTAGATTTGGTCTTTTCAGATAGTCCCATATTTCTTGGAGGCTTTGTTCCTTTCTTTTTACTCTTTTTTCTCTAAACTTCTCTTCTCTCTTCATTTCATTCCTGTGATCTTCAATCACTGATACCCTTTCTTCCAGTTGATTGAATTTGCTACTGAAGCTTGTGCATTCGTCACGTAGTTCTCATGCCATGGTTTTCAGCTCCATCAGGTCATTTAAGGACTTCTCTACACTGGTTATTTTAGTTAGCCATTTGTCTAATCTTTTTTCAAGGTTTTTAGCTTCTTTGCAATGGGTTCGAACTTCCTCTTTTAGCTTGGAGAAGTTTGTTCATCTGAAGCCTTCTTCTCTCAACTCATCAAAGTCATTCTCCATCCAGCTTTGTTCCGTTGCTGGCAAGGAGCTGTGCTCCTCTGGAAGGTGAGAGGCACCTGATTTTTAGAATTTTCAGCTTTTCTGCTCTGTTTCTCCCCATCTTTGTGATTTTATCTACCTTTGGTCTTTGATGATGGTGACATACAGATGGGGTTTTGGTGTGGATGTCCTTTCTGTTTGTTAGTTTTCCTTCTAACAGTCAGGACCCTCAGCTGCAGGTCTGTTGGAGTTTGCTGAAGGTCCACTCCAGACCCTGTTTGCCTGGGTATCGGCAGCGGAGGCTGCAGAACAGCGAATATTGCTGAACAGTAAATGTTGCTGCCTGATCATTTCTCTGGAGCTTCATCTCAGAGGGGTATCTGGCCATGTGAGGTCTCAGACTGCCCCTACTGGAGGGTGTCTCCCAGTTAGGCTACTTGGGGGTCAGGGACCCACTTGAGGAGGCAGTCTGTCTGTTCTCAGATCTCAAACTGTGTGCTAGGAGAACCACTACTCTCTTCAAAGCTGTCAGACGGGACATTTAAGTCTGCAGAGGTTTCTGCTGCCTTTTGTTTGGCTATGCCCTGCCCCAGAGGTGGAGTCTACAGTGGCAGGCAGGCCTCCTTGAGCTGTGGTGGGCTCCACCCAGTTCGAGCTTCCTGGCCACTTTATCTACTCAAGCCTCAGCCATGGCAGGCGCCCCTCCCCCAGCCTCACTGCCACCTTGCAGTTCGATCTCAGACTGCTGTGCTAACAATGAGAGAGGCTCTGTGGGCGTGGGCTCTCTGAGCCAGGCATGGGACATAATCTCCTGGTGTGCCGTTTGTAAGACCATTGGAAAAGGGCAGTATTAGGGTGTGAGTGACCCAGTTTTCCAGGTGCCATCTGTCACAGCTTCCCCCGACTCCTTGCAATTCCTGGGTGAGGCAATGCCTCGCCCTGCTTTGGCTCATGCTCAGTGGGCTGCACCCACTGTCCTGCACCCACTGTCCAACAAGCCCCAGTGAGATGAACCCGGTACCTCAGTTGGAAATGCAGAAATCAACCATCTTCTGCGTCACTCATGCTGGGAGCTGTAGACTGGAGCTGTTCCCATTCAGCCACCTTGGAACTTCCCCCTTTCATGACTTCTATGAATGCAGAAGTTCTACTTTGCTCCTTTCTTACATTATGTTGATTTCCCTGAAAACACAAGTTTTTCGTTTCTTTAGATGGTTCATATTATCCTCAAAAACTGCAGAAGGTTGTTTCATTCCCTTCCTTCTCATAGAGATAATGGATTGTGCCAAGTCTTACATGCCCATTGCACACTTTCTCAATTCCCAGCTTTGTTCTTACTTAATTTTCCTCATAACGTCTCAATTATGGGACAAATTTTCTTAATGTGGCATAAGGTACAGTCTGTGTTTTACAAGGAATAACTTAGTTTCATTTACTTCGTCAATAGGTGTTCAGGAGATGGAGGCCATATAACAATTTTATTTACATGATATCGAGAATAAGTTCCTTCAGATGAGACTCTCTCATGAGTCCACAATGAATTCTCAAGCATTTTTTGATGCAGATGAATTGAATGAATGACTGGTCAGAGGATGAGACAAAAAGAGATCCCTGCTTTCAGGGCAGCCATTAAATGCAGTCCCTGCTGCCATATCATGCAGCTGTTGCTCACTGAGGTGTGGGAAACTTATTTGGGAAAACTTTTTTGTGAACAAAAATGTTATCTGCAAATATAAGAGATCATTCCTCTCATTGTTAAATAAACTCAAGTGCATGTCTTGCTAGTGCTGACTTCCAATGTCATTTCTACTATGTTGAGAGTTAAATGTAAGTGTCCTTGGGCAGAAAGAGAGGACCTCAGCTTGGATCAGAATCTGTCCTTTATTAGCTACATAACATCACATATTAATTTTTTTTCAGGTGAAAAATGAAGGTAATAATGCATGACCACCTGTTTTGAGAATCAAATTGGATAATAACTATGGTATGTGATATGTGTGTAAATCCCATATCAGGAGTGCTTTCAAATAAAACAAAACACTATATGAGATGAGGATGGTTCAGAATTTATTCAGAAACATATAGGTAAGGATTTCTGCTACCAGGGACACAACACAAATTTATCATGAAAAGAAGAAAGAAGGATACAAGAACGATGAGGAGGATATTGAAAACAAAAAAAAGATTGCAAAGATCATCGATCAGTTGCAGAAACCTAAATTCCTTAGAAGCAGGGAATGAAGCTCTTGACTTTAGAGTCAAAGCTGAGACCATGACTCAAACTTGAGAACAGATGAAGCTGGCACATGATCCACAAGGTGTAAGGAAAAAGAGAATCAGGATGAAGTATTCTGCCCTCCCTCAAGCAGATTTCCAAGATTTTAAACATGTAGAGAATTCATAAAAATTTGGGTGAGAGCATGGTGGCTGTCAGCAGCAAATTAAATTAGTCCCCCAAAAGATGAGTCAGTTGAGCAGAAATTTGTTGTGTGAGGATGGTGGTTCTCTTGGAACGTGATCAGCAGCAAGAAGGCTGGCAGCAGCTGGACACACAGGTGGGCTG
This sequence comes from Homo sapiens, assembly GCF_000001405.40. NCBI lineage: Eukaryota > Metazoa > Chordata > Mammalia > Primates > Hominidae > Homo > Homo sapiens. The sequence goes on from NW_003871093.1 coordinate 68,627, forward strand.
GAAGCAAGTGGTCCTGCAGCAGGTGGTCTCACAGCAGGCTGGGCGGCAGCACGGCTGGCAGCAGTTGGAGCCACAGCTCTGGTTTAGGCAACCAGGCAGGCAGACAGTCGTGGGGTAGTAGCAGGTTCTTCTGCAGTACACAGGTGCACAGGAGCTGCTCTGGCCACAGCTGGACCCACAGCTGGTTTGGCCACAGCAGCTGGACCCACAGCAGGTGGGCTGGCAGCAGGTTGTGCTGCAGCAGGAAGGCTGGCAGCAGCTGGTCACACAGGTGGGCTGGCAGCAGGTGGTCCTACAGCAGGTGTTTTGACAGCAAGTTGGGCGGCAGCAAGGCTGGCAGCAGCTGGACACACAGCAGGCGGGCTGGCAGCAGGGTGTGCTGCTGCAGGTGGTCACAGTGGTGGGCTTCCAGCAGGTGGTCCTGCAGCAGGTGGTCCTGCAGCAGGTAGGCTGACAGCAAGGGGAGCAACAGTGGGTCATGGTGTCAGGGGTGGAGGGTGGGCTTCTGTTCAGAGGTGAGTTTCCCAGAATCTGATGACCCCTTGCAATCTGGACCTTTTATACATCTGGCCTCCAAAGTTTCCACCAATCAGCAGGACTTTTCCTTGTTGTTGTTTACACTGTTTTCCATACTCCCTTTGCGATTGTCAAAGGGGAAGTTGTTTCTGAAATCTTATGAATCTTTTGAAAGTAAGGGTTTAATCTGTTTCTTAATTGAGAATTACTCATAAAAACTTTGTTTCAGATAAAAGGAAGGCAGTCTCATCATCAGCATCATTCCTGCTCTGACCATCATCTGGTCATGTGATAGTTCCTGGTGATCCGGGAAGCAGATAGTTCTCTCTGTCCAGCCTCATGGTTGACTGTATGTAGACTGGGAAATGTCTGTGGGCAGTCGCGTGATGCTGTTATGTTCACAGTGATGCATTGAATCCGTGCCCGGCACCAAGCCTATTTACCCACAAAAGTCTGATTCAAGAGTAACAAGCATCTTTCTCGCTACAAACTATTCCACCTGTGTCTTCCAGTTCTATTACACTCACTAGGGAAAGGGTGTTTGGCACAATGTATTCCAAAATGCGGAGCTAGACCAAAGCAGGTGGGTAGAAAAAGGAGTCCACTGGGATTCAGAAAGCATCGAGTGTCTCTGTGATGGTGTTGCCATTTACCCTGATTTGCCTGGGACTGAAGGGTTTACCAGCATGGGACTCTCTGTGACGTAAGTGCTCTAGATTCGGGCAAATCAAGCTGAGTTCTGGTCCTAGCTTGTTAATTCTAATACTTTTTGTATTTTTTTTTGGTGTGACAGAAAATTGCACATGTGCAGTCATGACTCATAAAAAATAGTAATAGTTTTCTTCGCTTTATAAGAGTATTTTTAATCTTGCTTTTTTTTTGGCCCTTGTCCAGGGGTAGACCCTCCAGGGCAATGTCTAATAGAATGGTGTAGTGTATATCTTTTTATATTCGTTGGATAGAAAGGAGAACTCTCAGTATTTCACAATTAATTACGATGCTTTCTGTCTTTTTTGTAGATTCATTTCATCATAGCAACAGGGCTTGTTCTATTCCTTATTTTCTGAGAGACAGAAAACTGAAAATGTACTGAAATTTACAAAATGCTTTTTCTTTATAAGCTGAAATAATGTTATGATTATTCTACCTTTTCAGTAAGTGTTGTTTTATTCTATGTTTTTTGAGACAGAGTCTTGCTTCGTCACCCAGGCTGGAGTGCAGTGGTACAATCTTGGCTCACTGCAATCTCCACCTCCCGGGTTCAAGAGATTCTCTTGCCTCAGCCTCCCGAGTAGCTGGGACTATGGGAGCACACCACCATGCCCAGCTAACTTTTGTATTTTTAATAGAGACAGAGTTTCACCATGTTGGCCAGCTGATCGCGAACTCCTGACCTCAAGAGATCCACCTGCCTCGGCTTCCCAAAATGTGTTATTTTAAAAGTTGATTAATGTTCAAATATTAGCCCAGTCTTGCATTTCTGAAAACAATTCATGTGGTTACGATCATATGTATATGCCATTGGATTTTATTTACTTATATTTTGTTTAGGATATTTACTATCATTGCATTCCAAAAATATATTCTCCTATTCTTACTCTATTTCCTCTACCTTCTCTAAGTAAAGAAATTCCGAATATAGCAAAATTCCTACCCTTCTGTGCCCAATTTGACCTTGATGTGACCCCCTGTATTGGTTTTTCTAAAGGCAATTTCATGCCCCATGAAATACTCTAGCAGTTCTATTGCAGAGTGTGGGCTTGGGGATCAACAGTTCTTTTTTCAACAGGGGCACTAGACTATCCCATGGGTCCCTTTCAAACACACACACCCCATGGGGGGAACTCCCAGGAGATACTTGTAGCCCAGTTGTAGTCTTTCTTATCTACTTTGACAGAAACAATGAAGTCTAGCCCAATTATCTGAAATCTGTACTTAGTCATTTCTACAACAATATTGTGTTAATCTAGAAAACGTGAGTGAGGAATTGTCTTTAATCTGCAACTCAAATTATAGGAGGAGGAAATTACATCAGCATATGTAGGTATCAGTTAAATTCATTGAGGAGAACCTGGGGGAAAGTGTGATTGGTGGATCCCAAATAACGAGACAGTGGTATCAGATTATCACTTGATTAACAAACACATAAAACATGAGAGCCCATGCAGCTCTCTAACAACAGGCCTATTGCACTGAGTTTTACATGTAGATTTTTGAAGAGAGTGGAAAGTAAACACTGAGTTTCCTGAGAATATAAGTAGACGTGTATGACAGAATATCATTATCGGTTCTTAAATATTATGGCAGAAATGAATGAAGTGAAAGTTTACACTAACATGTAAGAAATATCACTATTTAGACCCTACAGAGGGATGGCTTTGGATAGAAAAATAAGATTAGATTGCCCTTGGAACTTCAAAGTTACACAAAAAGAAACAGAGCAAAGTTATGCACAGGCATCTTAAAAAGAATGAATGGCTTCGAAGCTAGCCAAATTTATTCTAGTCTGGTAAGGATTTGAAAATGAATATTTCTTATATGGGAATGTGGCATTCAAATTCTTCCCTCTGGGAATATATGTAGGAGTGAAATTGCCACGTCATAGGAAACACTTATAATCAGCATTAGTAGAAAGAAAAAAGCAGTGTTTCAACATTTTACAACCAGTAGTGACTCCTGCTTGACCCTAATATTGTGAACCTTCTGAATTGTACTGGTATGTATTTATGTTTTAGATTTGCATTTATTTGATGACTAATGTCTAATAGGCATTGGTTGTTCCTTTTTCCTTTTTCATAAGATGCCTGTTCAAGTCTTCTACCCATACTTCTTCATGGTTGTTAATTTCTTAGTGTTTTATAGATTTTGGACGTATGTTCTGACTAGTGTATAGATAGATAGATAGATAGATAGATAGATAGATAGATAGATAATGTGGAGATTATTTTCTATAAACTTATATAAGATATATATGTATCAGGAGTTTATCATTTATTGAGTGGATATGGTATAAATATTTTGTCACATGCTGTGTTTTATCTTTCCTTTTTGCTCTCTTTTTTTTGTTAAATTTTGTTTTTAATTTTTACCAAAACATGAATCCTGTTATTGTCATTTAACAATGGGGATAGGTTCTGAGAAATGAACCACTAGGTAATTTTGTCATTGTGTGAACATTGTAGAGTGTACTTAAACCTGGATCATATAGCTTACTATACATCTAGGCTATTTGATATGGCCTATTTTTAAAAATTATACTTTAAGTTCTGGGGTACATGTGCAGAACGTGCAAATTTGTTACATAAGTATACACGTGCCATGGTGGTTTGCTGCACCCATCAACCCGTCATCTACATTAGGTATTTCACTTAATGCTATCCCTCCTGTATCCCCCTACTCCCTGACAGGCCCTGGTGTGTGATGTTCCCCTCCCTGTGTCCATGTGTGCTCATTGTTCAGCTCTCACTTATGAGTGAGAACATGCAGTGTTTGGTTTTCTGTTCTTGTGTTAGTTTGCTGAGAATAATGGTTTCCAGCTTCATCCATGTCCCTGCAAAGGACATGAACTCATTTTTTTTATGGCTACATAGTATTCCATGGTGTATATGTGCCACATTTTCTTTATCCAGTCTATCACTGATGGGCATTTGTGTTGGTTCCAAGTCTTTGCTATTGCAAACAGTGCTGCAATAAACATATGTGTGCATGTGCCTTTATAGTAGAATGATTTATAATCATTTGGGTATATACTCAGTAATGGGATTGCTGGGGCAAATGGTATTTCTGGTTCTAGATCCTTCAGGAATTGCCACACTGTCTTCCACAGTGGTTGAACTAATTTACAGTCCCACCAACAGTGTAAAAATGTGCCTATTTCTCCACATCCTCTCCAGCCTCTGTTGTTTCTTGCCTTTTTAATGATTGCCATTCTAACTGGTGTGAGATGGTATCTCATTGTGGTTTTGATTTACATTTCTCTAATGACCAGTGATGATGAGCTTTCTTTCATATGTTTGTTAGCTAAATGTCTTCTTTTGAGAAGTGTCTGTTCATATCCTTCACCCACTTTTTGATAGGGGTTTTGCCCATGCCTGTGTCCTGAATGGTACTGCCTAGGTTTTCTTCTAGGGTTTTTATGGTTTTAGGTCTTATGTTTAAGTCTTTAATCCATCTTGAGTTAATTTTTGTATAAAGTGTAAGGAAGGGGTCCACTTTCAGTTTTCTGCATATGGCTAGCCAGTTTTCCCAACACCATTTATTAAATAGGGAATCCTTTCCCCATTGCTTGTTTATGTGAGGTTTGTAAAAGATCAGATGGTTGTAGATATGTGGTGTTATTTCTGAGGTTTCTATTCTGTTCCATTCGTCTATACATCTGTTTTGGTACTAATACCATGGATTTTGGCTACTGTAGCCTTGTAGTATTGTTTGAAGTCAGGTAGCATGATGCCTTCAGCTTTGTTCTTTTTGCTGAGGATTGTCTCAGCTATGCAGGCTCTTTTTTGGTTCCATATGAAATTTAAAGTAGTTTTTTCTAATTCTGTGAAGAAAGTCAATGGTAGCTTGATGGGGATAGCATTGAATATATAAATTACTTTGGGCAGTATTGTCATTTTCATGATATTGATTCTTCCTATCCATTACCATGGAATGTTTTTCCATTTGTTTGTGTCCTCTTTTATTTCCTTGAGCAGTGGTTTGTAGTTCTCCTTAAAGAGGTCCCTCACATCTCGTGTAAGTTGTATTCCTAAGTATTTTATTCTCTTTGTAGCAATTGTGAATGGGAGTTCACTTATGATTTGGCTCTCTGCTTGTCTATTATTGGTGTATAGGAATGCTTGTGATTTTTGCACATTGATTTTGTATCCTGAGATTTTGCTGAAGTTGCTTATCAGCTTAAGGAGTTTTTGGGCTGAGACGATGGGGTTTTCTAAATATAGAATCATGTCATCTGCAAACAAAGACAATTTGACTTCCTCTCTTCCTATTTGAGTATGCTTTATTTCTTTCTTTTGCCTGATTACTCTGGCCAGAACTTCCAATACTATGTTGAATAGCAGTGGTGAGAGAGGGTATCCCTGTCTTGTGTCGGTTTTCAAAGGGAATGCCTCCAGCTTTTGCCCATTCAGTATTATATTATCTGTGGGTTTATCATAAATAGCTCTTATTATTTTGAGATACGTTCCATCAATACCTAGTTTATTGAGTGTTTTTAGCATGAAGAGGTGTCGAAGTTTATTGAAGGCCTTTTCTTCATCTATCAAGATAATCATGTGGTTTTTGTCATTGGTTCTATTAATGTGATAGATTACATTTATTGATTTGCTTATGTTGAACCAGTCTTGCATCCGAGGGATGAAGTCGACTTGATTGTGGTGGATAAGCTTTGTAATGTGGTGCTGGATTCGGTTTGCCAGTATTTTATAGAGGATTTTCGCACCAATGTTCATCAGGGATATTGGCTTGAGATTTTCTTTTTTTGTTATGTTTTTGCCCAGTTTTAGCATTAGAATGATGCTGGCCTCATAAAATGAGTTAGGGAGGAGTCTACCTTTTTCTATTGTTTGGAATAGTTTTAGAAGGAATGGTACCAGCTCCTCTTTGTGCCTCTGATAGAATTTGGCTGTGAATCCGTCTGGTCCTGGGCTTTTTTTTTGGTTGGTAGGCTATTAATTACTGCCTCAATTTCAGAACTTGCTATTGGTGTATTTAGGGATTCGAATTCTTCCTGGTTTAGTCTTCGGAGGGTGTGTGTGTCCAGGAATTAATCCATTTCTTCTAGATTTTCTAGTTTATTTGAGTAGAGGTGTTTATAGTATTCTCTGATGGTAGTTTGTATTTCTGTGGGATCAGTGGTAATCTCCCGTTTATCATTTTTTATTGTGTCTCTTTGAGTCTCCTCTCTTTTCTTCTTTATTAGTCTGGCTAGTGCTCTATTTTGTAAATCTTTTCAAGAAATCAGCTCCTGGATTCATTGATTTTTTGAAGGATTTTTTGTGTCTCTATCTCCTTCAGTTCTGCTCTGATCATAGTTATTTCTTGTCTTTTGTGAGCTATTGAATTTGTTTGCTGTTGCTTCTCTAGTTCTTTAAATTGTGATGTTAGGGTGTCGATTTTAGATCTTTCCCACTTTCTCATGTGGGCATTTAGTGCTATAAATTTCCCTCTAAACACTGCTTTAGCTGTGTCCCAGAGATTCTGGTACATTGTGTCTTTGTTCTCATTGGTTTCAAATAACTTATTTATTTCTACCTTAATTTTGTTATTTACCCATAGTCATTCAGGAGCAGGTTGTTCAGTTTCCATGTAGTTGTGTGGTTTTGAGTTTCTTTCTTTCTTTCTTCTTTCTTTCTTTCTTTCTTTCTTTCTTTCTTTCTTTCTTTCTTCTTTCTTCTTTCTTTCTTTTTTTGAGACAGAGTCTCGCTCTGTCACCCAGGCTGTAGTGCAGTAGCGTGATCTTGGCTCACTGCAACCTCTGTCTCCCGGGTTCAAGCGATTCTCCTGCCTCAGCCTCCTGAGTAGCTGGAATTACAGGCGCTTGCCACCATGCCTGCCTAAATTTTTTGTATTTTTCGTAGAGACACGGCTTCACCGTGTTAGCCAGAATGGTCTCGATCTCCTAACCTTGTGATCTGCCCACTCGGCCTCCCAAAGTGCTGGGATTACAGGCATGAGCCACCGTGCCTGGCCTTGAGTGAGTTTCTTAATCCTTAGTTCTAATTTGATTGCACTGTGATCTGAGAGACTGTTTTACTTCCAATTATGTGGTGAAATTTAGAGTGCTATGTTGTAGTGAGAAGAATGTTTATTCTGTTGATTTCAGGTGGAGAGTTCTGTAGATGTCTATTAGGTCCACTTGGTCCAGAGTTGATTTCAAGTCCTGAATATCCTTGTTAATTTTCTGTCTCATTGTTCTGTCTGATATTGACAGTGGGGTGTTAAAGTCTCCCACTTTTTTTTTTTTGAGATGGAGTCTTGCTCTGTCGCCCAGGCTGTAGTGCGGTGGTGTGATCTCGGTTCACTGCAACCTCCACTTCCTGGGCTCACTCCTGCCTCAGCCTCCTGAGTAGCTGGGATTATAGGCACGTGCCACAATGCCTGGTTAATTTTTTTTTGTATTTTTAGTAGAGACGGGGTTTCACCATGTTATCCAGGATGGTCTCCATCTCCTGACCTCATGATCTGCCCGCCTCGGCCTCCCAAAGTGCTGGGATTACTGATGTGAGCCACCATACTCAGCCTTGAGTGAGTTTCTTAATCCTGAGTTCTAATTTCATCGCACTGTGATCTCAGAGACTGTTTGTTATGATTTCCATTCTTTTGCATTTGCTGAGGAATGTTTTATTTTTAATTATGTGGTCAATTTTAGAGTAAGTGCTATGTGGTGCTGAGAAAAATGTATATTCTGTTGATTTGGGGTGGAGAGTTCTGTAGATATCTACTAGGTCTGCTTGGCCCAGAGCTGAGTTCAAGTCCTGAATATCTTTGTTAATTTTCTGTCTTGTTGATCTGTCGAATACTGACAGTGGGGTGTTAAAGTCTCTCACTATTTTTTTTTTTAAGATGGAGTCTTGCTCTGTCACCCAGGCTGGAGTGCAGTGGCACGATCTTGGCTCACTGCAACCTCTGCCTCCTGGGTTCAAGCGATTCTCCTGCCTCAGACTCTCCAGTAGCTGGGATTACAGGTGCGTGCCACCATGCTCAGCTCATTTTTGTATTTTTTAGTAGAGATGGGGTTTCACCATGCTCGCCAGGCTGGTCTTGAACTCTTGACCTCATGATCCACCCACCTTGGCCTCCCAAAACGCTGGGATTACAGGTGTGAGTCACCATGCCCGGCCAGTCTCCCATTATTATTGTGTGGGAGTCTAAGTCTTTTTGTAGGGCTCTAAGAACTTGCTTTATAAATCCGGGTGCTCCTGTATTGGGTGCATATATGCTTAGGTTAGGTTTCTCTTCTTGTTGCATTGATTCCTTTACCATTATGTAATGCCCTTTGTCTTTTTTGATATTTGTTGGTTTAAAGTCTGTTTTATCAGAGGCCAGGATTGCAACACCTGCTTTTTTTTTGTTGCTTTCCATTTGCTTGGTAAATATTCCTCCATCACTTTATTTTGGGCCTATGTGTGTCTTCGCATGTGAGACGGGTCTGATGAATACAGTATACCGATAGGTCTCAATTTTCGCATGTGAGACAGGTCTGATGAATACAGTACACCGATAGGTCTTAATTCTTTATCCAATTTGCCAGTGTGCGTCTTTTAATTGGGGCATTTAGCCCATTTACTTTTAAGGTTAACATTGTTATATGTGAATTTGATCCTGTCTTTATGATGCCAGCTGGTTATTTTGCCCATTAGTTGATGCAGTTTCTTCATAGTGTCGATGGACTTTAAAATTTGGTATGTTTTTGCAGTGGCTGGTACCAGTTTTTTCTTTCCATATTTAGTGCTTCCTTCAGGAGCTCTTGTAAGGCAGGACTGGTGGTGACAATATCCTTCACCATTTGCTTGTCTGTAAAGGATTTTATTTCTCCTTTACTTATGAAGCTTAGTTTGGCTGGATATGAGATTCTGGGTTGAAAGTTCTTTTATTTAAGAATGTTGAATATTGGCCCCCACTCTCTTCTGGCTTCTAGGGTATCTGCAGAGAGATCCACTATTAGTCTGATGGGCTTCCTGGCTTCCCTTTGTGGGTAACCCGACCTTTCTCTTTGGCTGCCCTTAACATTTTTTCCTTCATTTCAACCTTGGTGAATCTGACAATTATGTGTCTTGGGGTTGCTCTTCTGGAGGAGTATCTTTGTGGTGTTCTCTGTATTTCCTAAATTTGAATGTTGGCCTGTCTTGCTAGGTTGGGGAAGTTCTCCTGGATAATATCCTGAAGTGTGTTTTCTAACTCGGTTCCATTCTCCCCATCACTTTCAGGTACACCAATCAAACATAGGTTTGGTCTTTTCACATAGTCCCATATTTCTTGGAGGCTTTGTTCATTCCTTTTTATTCTTTTTTCTCTAATCTTGTCTTCACGCTTTATTTCATTAAGTTGATCTTGAATCTCTGATATCCTTTCTTCTGCTTGATCCATTTGGTCATTGATACTTGTATATGCTTCACAAAATTCTCGTGCTGTGTTTTTCAGCTACATCAGGTCATTTATGTTCTTTTCTAAACTGATTATTCTAGTTAGCAGTTCCTGTAACATTTTATAAAGGTTCTTGGCTTCCTTGAATTGGGTTAGAACATGCACCTTTAGCTCAGAGGAGTTTGTTATTACCCACCTTCTGAAACCTACTTCTGTCAATTCATCAAACTTATTCTCTGTCCAGATTTGTTCCCTTGCTGGTGAGGAGTTGTAATCCTTTGGAAGAGAAGAGGCATTCTGGTTTTTGGAATTTTCAGCCTTTTCTTGTGCTGGTTTTTCCTCATCTTCTTGGATTTATCCACCTTTGGTCTTTGATATTGGTAACCTTTGGATTGGGTTTTTGCGTGGGCATCCTTTTTGTTGATATTGATGCTGTTGCTTTCTGTTTGTTAGTTTTCCTTCTAACAGTCAGGCCCCTCTTCTGCAGGTCTGCTGGAGTTTGCTGAAGGTCCACTCCAGACCCTGTTTGCCTGGGTATTGCTGCCTGCTCCTTCCTCTGGAAGCTTTGTCCCAGGGGGCACCTGCCAGATGCCAGCCGGAGCTCTCCGCTATGAGGTGTCTGTTGACTCCTGCTGGGAGGAGTCAGGAGGCATGTGGGTCAGAGACCCACCTGAGGAGGCAGTCTGTCCCTTAGCAGAGCTTGAGCGCTGTGCTGGGAGAACAGTTGATCTCTTCAGAGCCCGCAGGCAGGAACGTTTGAGTCTGCTGCTGAAGCTGTGCCCACAGCTGCCCCACCCCACAGGTGCTCTGTCCCAGGGAGATGGGAGTTTTATCTGTAAGCCCCTGAATGGGGCTGCTGCCTTTCTTTCAGAGATGACCTCCCGAGACAGGAGGAATATAGAGCGGCAGTCTGGCCACAGTGGCTTTGCTGTGCTGAGGTGGTTCCGCACCCAGTTCGAAATTCCCGGCAACTTTGTTTACACTGTGAGGGGAAAACTGCCTACTCAAGCTTTGGCAGTGGTGGGCGCCCCTCCCCGCACCAAGCTCGAGTGTCCCAGGTCGACTTCAGACTGCTGTGCTGCCAGCGAGAATTTCAAGCCAGTGAATTTTAGCTTGTTGGGTGCCTTGGGGGTGGGATCTGCTGAACAAGACCACTCGGCTCCCTGGCTTCAGCCCCTTTCCAGGGTAGTGAACAGTTTTGTGCCGCTGGCATTCCAGGCACCACTAGGATATGAAAACAACAACAACAACAACAAAGCAAAACAAAAACACAAAACTCCTACAGCTAGCTTGGTGTTTGCCCAAACAGCCACCCAGTTTTGTGCTTGAAGCCCAGGGCCGTGGTGGTAGGCACCCGAGGGAATCTCCTGGTCTGTGAGTTGTGAAGACCATAGAAAAGCATAGTAGCTGGACCAGATAGCACCATCCCCAGAAATACCATTTGATTCAGCAATCCCTTTACTGGATATATACCCAAAGGAATAGAAATCATTCTATCATAAAGATACATGCATGCATATGTTCACTGCAGCACTACTCACAATAGCAAAGACATGGAACCAACCCAAATGCCCATCAAGAGTAGACTGGATAAAGAAAATATGATACATGTACACAATGGAATACTATGCAGCCATAAAAAGGAACTGGATCATGTCCTTTGTAGGGACATGGATGGAGCTAGAAGCTGTTATTCTCAGCAAACTAACACAGGAACAGAAAACCAAAATGACATGTTTTCATTTATAAGTGGGAGCTGAATGATGGGAACACATGGACAAACGTTGGGGTGGGAGAACAACACATACTGGGGCCTGTTGCAGGCAATGAGAGGGAGGGCATCAGGAAGAACAGTTAATGGGTTCTGGGCTTAATACTTGGGTGATGGGTTGATCTGTGTAGCAAACCACCATGGCACATTTACCTATGTAACAAACCTGCACATCCTGCACACGTATCCCAGAACTTAAAATAAAAGTTGATAAAATAAAAAATAAATAATTTAAAAAATTTTTTAAAATTTCTGGAGACAGATGATGGTTGTCTAACAACATGAGTGTACTTACTTCCACTGAACTGTATATGTAAAAATGATTATAATTGTGGTTGGGCACGGTGGCTCACACCTGTAATCCCAACACTTTGAGAGGCTGAGGCAGGTGGATCACGAGGTAAGGTATTTGAGACCAATCTGGCCAACATAGTGAAACCCCATCTCTACTAAAACTACAAAAAATTAACCAGGCATGGTGGCACATGCCTGTAGTCCCAGCTACTCGGGAGGCTGAGGCAGGAGGATCGCTCGAACCTGGAAGGCGGAGGTTGCAGTGAGCTGAGAACGTGCCACTGCACTCCAGCCTGGGTGACAGAGCAAAATTCCATCTCAAAAATAAATAAATAAATAAAGATTATAATTGTAAATTTTATGTGTATTTTACCACAATAAAAAAACAGTAAGCCAGGAATAAAAAGTTTTGATGTGAAAACAAATTATCTCTCAAAGTTTGGGTGCAAATGAAATGTGGCCTAAGTTTTTTGGGCCATGACTTAATCTTCTATTACCATTTATTTAGGTGACCAGAAGAATGAGGACAAACAGAATGCCAATTCCATTATTTCAACAAACAAGTATTTCTAGATGAGCCTCTCACACCAAAGTCCCAGGACAGAGGCAGGAACACAATGGGTGCTCAAAAATATTTAAAGAACTTCACCAGTGCCTGACAAGAGACTGAGAATATAAAATGTTCACATGATTCACGAGGGCTCTTAAAACGAGTTGTTGCTCTTAAGATGTGGCTATTGGTTAGGGGAATGAATTTGGAAAGAACTTTGTTAGTAGAAAATGGTCTGCAAATGCGTGGAATTGGTGTTTCCATTGTCAGAGAACAACTTCGAGTGCACCCCTTCCCGGTTCTAAGTCCTTAGTATAATTCTGTAAATGTGACATCAGTAGAGGTGAAATCAGAAACCCTGAGCCTAGAGCCAATTCTGTCCATCCTTAGCTACATGACACGATGCAGGCCACTTTACTCATCTTGGTTCTGTCCAAGTTTGAGGCTTCTATGTGACTTAGATGAGATAATATATGTGAGATGCAAAACAATCACTGAAACAAAACAAAACACAACACAGGAGGCACTATAGTAAACGCTTTATTAGGAAATAAATAAAGCAATGCTCCTTTCTGCTAAGAAGATAATACAGAGTTGTCATGGAAAGTCACAAAAGTGAGTATTAATTTGAAACAAAATGATATTTATCATTGTAAAGATCTAATAAGGGCCGGGTGTGGTGGCTCATGGCTGTAATCCCAACACTTTGGGAGGCCGAGGTGGGCAGATCTCCTGAGGTCAGGAGTTTGAGACCAGCCTGGCCAACATGGTGAAACCCCGTCTCTACTAAAAATACAAAAAATTAGTCAGATGTGGTGGCAGGAACCTGTAATCCCAGCTACTTGGGAGGCTGAGGCAGGAGAATCACTTGAACCTGGGAGCACAGAGGTGTCAGTGAGCTGAGATCGCGCCATTGCACTTTAGCCTGGGCAACAAGAGTGAAACTCTGTTTAAAAAAAAAGAAAAAAAAATTAATAAGACAGCTATGAGAATTTTTTTTCTTTTTAGAAATTTTCCTAGAGTAAAAAAACAAAGATAATTTTGTCAACGCTCAGATCATAAATCCAGGTCAAGAACAGATGAAGCTGACCAGCAGCTGGCTCAATGAAGAGACTATCGGAGTGAAAAAGGCTACACTCATTAAGCAAGTTCATAATTTGTTAACAAGAAGATGACTGACAGTTTAGTGACAGTATGTATGTTATCAGCAGAGGAAGTGGAGTGAGTTTGCCATAGAAATGGATATCTGGCCTGGGCGTGGTGGCTCATGCCTGTAATCCCAGCACTTTGGGAGGTCAAGGCGGGTGGATCATCTGAGGTCAGGTGTTTGAGACCAGCCTGACCAACATGGAGAAACCCCATCTCTACGAAAAATACAAAATTAGCTGGGCATGATGGCGTATGCCTGTAATCTCAGCTACTCGGGAGGCTGAGGCAGGGGAATGGCTGGAACCCAGGAGGTGGAGGTTGCGGTGAGCTAAGATCATGCCATTGCACTCCAGCCTGGGCAACAAGAGCGAAACTGGGTCTCAAAAAAAAAAAAAAAAAAAAAGAATAAATGGATACCTGGCTGGTCTGATGATGGAAGTTTATTCTATGCAGGTAGTAATCTGTGGTAAGTTGATCAATAACTGCAAGGCTGGCAGCCCCTAGACACACAACAGGCTGATTGGCAGCAGGGCTAGCAGCAGCTGGATCCATAGCTCTGGTTTAGGCAACCTGTCAGGCAGACACACATGGGGTGGTAGCAAGTTCTCCTGTAGTAGATGGGTGCACAGAAGCTGGGCTGGCAGCAGCTGGACCCACTGCCAGTTTGGCCGTAACAGCTGGACCCACAGCAGGTGGGCTGGCAGCAGGGTGTGCTGCAGCAGGAAGACTGGCAGCAGCTTGTCACACAGGTGTACTGGCAGCAAGTGGTCCTGCAGCAGGTGGCCTCACAGTAGGCTGGGCAGCAGGCAGCAGGGCTGGCAGCAGCTGGATCCACATATCTGGTCTAGGCAACTAGGCAGGCAGACACACATGGAATGGTAGCACGTTCTCTGGTAGACGGGTGCACAGCAGCTAGGTTGGCAGCAGGATGTGTTGCAGCAACTGGGGGGGTGGCAACAAGACTGGCAGCAGCTGGACACACAGCAGGTGGTCCTGCAGCACGTCGTAGGCTGGCAGCAAAGGGAGCAGCAGTGGGTCATGGCGTCAGGGGTGGAGGGTGCACTCCTGTTCAGAGGTGAGTTTCCTAGAGTTTGATAACGTTATTCAATCTGAACCTTTTATACATGGTACCCCAAAGTTTGGATTAACGAGCAGAACTTGTCTTTGATACTTCTCTAGTCTTTTGGGAAATGTCCCAAGGAGGAAGTTGTCTATTCAGTGCTGTGAATTTTCTTTGAGTAATTGATTTATTTGCTTTCTTAATTGACAAATAACCAGTCAGGACTATTTTCCTGAACTGAGAAATGAATCATTCTCCCTACCAATTAAGCACTGATCCTCATTTTTAAAGCTGAGTACAGTATTTGGTCATCTAACAGGTCCTATGTAGCTTAGTGAGATGTCAGGACAATTGTTAGTCACCATCTGTTTTTCCTTATTGCTATTTACTTTGGAAAGTACCTCTGAAGATAGGATGATGTTGAGTCATGGTGATGAGTTAAAAACCAAGTTTAGGGAGGGCTTGTGATGCCACCTGTAATGTAGAAGCTAGTATAAGATTTATCCTCCTGCTATAAACAATAATAAAAGCTTTGTAAATATATAAAACAACTGTTTGCAGATATTGGATGACAATCAGCTTTGGGTTATGATCCTTGAAGGAAGACACATGGGGTAAAAAAAGAAACACATGGGTTTGTATGTTTTCAAAATTGCTGCTGCAGCACATCCTGCTGCCAGTCCACCTGCTGCAGCAGCTGCAGCTGTTATGGCCAAATGCCAGAAGAAATAGAGTCCACATAGAGAGCAGAGGAGAGATAGGCGTTAAAGGGGTTTATCACAATTCCTTCTCTCAGTCTGAAATGTGATTTTTGATGGTTAAGTTTTCTAAAGCTTTATCCAGTTAAAATTATCAGTCATTTCTTTTCGAATAATAATATTTTTGTCTTGGTCAGGAGGTATTTATCTACCTAAAAATAAAAAAAATCACATAAATCATCTAGTGAGGATTTAAGATTTTTTTTGACCTTCAAGATATTGATACACCTGGAATTGATTTTTTTCCTACATGATGAGTGATCAGAATCCAAGTTCATCTTTTCCATGTAAATACTTTTCCATGTAAATACTGGAAACAGCTTTGATTATGATTCCTTTGATTATGGAACATTTTCAGCTTTATTGCTGGATATGTTCTCATTTTCATCCAGAATATTATTTATTTGTGTCTTCTTTACATTTCTTGATCAATCTTGTCAATGGCTTATCATTTATTGGTATTTTTTTTGAAAAAGAAATTTTGGCTTTGTTCATCTTCTCTGTGATATCGTTTTTAACTAGTTCATTGATTTACATTTTATGCTATTTTGGTTGTTTTCCTTTTTCTTATTCACTTAGGTGAACACTTAGTTCATTTATTTTTAGGTTTTATTCTTGTTTAATATTTAAATATTAAAGGCTATTTAAAGTGTGTACATTTTATCAAAGATCATTTTATAACACCCCACAAGTCTTGATATGTAATATTTTCATTATAATTGAGTTACACATTTTTTCCTTAACATTAGAGATTCTTCCATTTTGGTCTTCCAAGTCAGTATATCTTCTGCAGCTTATCTCACTTATTGTGTACTTTAATGACTATATGCTCTATTATTAATTTAGTATCAGATATTATGCCTGCTTGTGTCTCCTACCCCATTATACATGTTTGTTTTTATTAATTTTTCATTTTGAAATAATTTCATACTCATAGAAAATTGTAAACACAGTACAAAGGATTCCCATATGCCTTCACTTGGATTCCTCAAATGTTAACATTTTACCATGCTTCTTTAACATTATTTCTATACATATATGTGTTACTACTGTTGGTTTTTAAAAGTAAGTTGCAGATAGAATTTCCCTTTATCACTAAATACCACTTTATCCCTATGTACTTCAGTGTGTGTTTCTTGTCACAGCCCAATGATCAAAACCAAAATGTTAATGCCGTTGCAGGATAGTCTCTGGTTGGTTCTTATTCATGTTGTGTGTGTGTGTGTTTTTGTATTTGTCTATATTGGTAATAGCTTCCTTTATGTCTTTAAATGCATTTATTATGTTTAGTTAAAACCCAGTTGAAGATTTGCTGACTGGGAAGATGGAGTGGACATACTTTTCCATATTCTTTCTGCTAAGTACAACTAAAAATTCTGGATATTATATATAAAGCAAACACGAGAGGACTCTGAAAGGTGGAGTGAAGAAAGCAGCCAGGCTAGAAGCCTCAGGACTTAAGGAACAATAAGGTGGGGTTCTCTGGGTTTTCTTTGTGCTGCAAGTACCCCCCAGACTTGGAGCTTGAGAAGCCTGTAACTCTGAAACTCTAGTGGATGCACACACACACACACACACACACACACACACACAGTTCCAATAAATGCTTCTCTCTACCTAAAGGGTCAGAAAAGAGGTGGCTTAGCAAGAAGAAAAACATTTAGATGGTATCTGCTGTGCTCCAGAAACAACTACAGCTTCACTGCCAATCACTCCAGTAAAAGCCGGGTGAGGAGATAGACTTCCATCCCTGAGAAGCTGTAATGAGTTTCCCTAACACCTCCCACTGAGTTAATGTCTGAGAAGGCCAAGTAGGGCTGTGAAACCCTAATCTCTGCCAGCCAGTAATGACCCCCGTCCCCAACAGACATAGACATAGAGTGCCAGTGTAGACCATGTGAAGGGCCGGAGTTCTCATCTCTGCTCAGCAGTAATGATGTGCTCCCCTACCTTGATTGTCAGCACAGGTTGAATAGGGGAACTAATCTACCTTCATGTGACAGTAATGAGGTAGCCCCTAGTCCCTTGCTAGAACAATGTCAGAGAAAGCCAGCCAAAACAAAAGATTACATAAGATCCAGAGTTTCATAACATAATACAAACAGGGCCAGATACTAATAAAAATCACTTAACATACAAAAACCAGGAGGATATGTAACTGGATGAAAAAAGACAATCAATAAATGCCAACGTTGAGATATCAGATATGTTAGAATTATCTGACAAAGAGTTTAAAGCAAGTCATGATAAAAATACATCAATGAAGCCAGGCGTGGTGGCTCATGCCTGTAATCCCAGCACTTTGGGAGGCCGAGGTGGGAGGATCTTGAGGTCAAGAGATTGAGACCATCCTGGACAACATGGTGAAACCCTCTCTCTACCAAAAACACAAAAATTATTTGGGTGTGGTGGCGGCCCCCTGTAGTCCCAACTACTCAGGAGGCTGAGGCAGGAGAATCGCTTGAACCAGGGAGTTGGAGGTTGCAGTGAGCCAAGATCGGGCCACTGCACTCCAGCCTGGTGACAAAGCAAGACTCCGTCTAAAAAAAAGAAAAGTCAATGAGCAAAACATAAAGTGTATGTTTAAAATATACTTTAAACAAATGAAAGAGTAGAAAGTGCCACAAATAAATAAAAGATACAATGATATATGTGAATTTTGGAACTCAAAAACCCAATAACCAAAATAAAAGGCTCAGTTGATGGCTCAACAGCAGAACGGAGGTAAAAAGAAAAGTATCAGTGAACTAGAAGATAGAACATTAGGAAATGTCCAATCCAAACAACAGAGAAAATACACTGGAAAAGCCTAAAAATTTAACAGAGCTTAAGGGACCTGTGGGACTAAAACAAATTATCTAATATTCATCTCACCAGAGTCCTAGAAGGAAAGATGAAAGAGGGCAGGGGTGAAAAAGTACTCAAAAACAATATAGTTGAAAATCTCCCCAATTAACCGAGAGACATAAACCTACAAATTCAAGAAGGTGAACAAATCCCAAACAGGATAAGCTCAAAGAAATTTGTGCCAACACACATAGTAGTTAAACTTCTGAAAAGTAAAGATAAAGAAAAAGTTGTAAATGCAACAAGAGAAAGAAAAACTTTATCTTTAGGGGAAAACAATTAAAACTACAGTGGATTTCTCATTATTTTTCAAGTGCTGACAGAAAAGAACTAAAATGAGTAGAAAATCAACAAAGATATGGAAGAACTCAAAAACACCATCAACCAACAGGATCTAATTAACGTTTATAGAACAGTCCATCCAACAATAGTAAAATACACATTCATTTCAAGTGTCCATGGAATATATTTCAAGATGGACCACATCTTGAGCCATAAAACAATCTCAACAAATTTATAAGAGTTGAAATCATAGAGTATGTTCTCCAACTGCAATGGACTCAAACTAGAAATTAATGACAGAAAGATAACTGGGGAATCTTCAAACACTTGGAAACTAAACAGCATACTTTTGAATAATCTCTAGGTCATCAAAGAATACTTAAGGGAAATTTTTTAAAAATGCATTGAAATGAATGAAAATGAAAATACAACATGTCAAAACTTGCGAGACACAATTAAAGCTGTGATGAGAGGGAAAGTCATAGCATTAAATGCATACATTTGAAAAGAGGAAAAGTCTCAATTAATTATCTAAGCTCCCACCTCAAGAACCTAGAAAAAGAAGAGAAAAATAAACTAAAAGCAAGCGCAAGGAAGGAAATAATAAATATAAAAGCAGAAATCAATGAAATTGAAAACAGAATAATAATGAAGAAAACAATGTGAAATAGTGAAACAAAGAGCTGGTTCTTTGAAAATATAAATGACAGTGAAAGATCGAATGCTTTCCCCTGAACTGGAAATACTAAATCTCACTGCTTACTCTACACAGTGCTCAAAGTTTTAACCAGCACAATAAGGCAAGAAAAAAAAATAAAGGAAAGGAAGAAATAAAACTGTCTCTGTTTGTAGGTAGCATGATTATCTACATAGAAAATCTCAAGGAATCTATGAATACAAACAAACAAATAAGCAAGCAAACTCTGAGAACTAATGAATGAGTTTTGAAAGATTGGAAGCTACAAGATAAACATACACAATCAGCTGTATTCTATATATTGGCAATGAATGCATGGACACAGAAATTGAAATAAATGTCATTTACAATCTCTCTAAAACATACTTAGGTGTAAATTTAAAAAACATGTACAGGGCTTACCACAGCAGGTTTTTAAAAAAGTAGATATCAATAA
>NW_003571055.2:256632-394095 GCF_000001405.40 Homo sapiens
GAATTCCAAGGAAAGAAGCACTAAACACCAGGGTGTTCATAGAGCATTTATTAGGGGGACCTCTGCACAGTGGGGCATCCTTGTCTTCTTGCCCAGTGTCTCCTTGTGGATCTCAAGGATGTGCTTCCACATAGCAGCATGTTCTTCAGATGGACAAGGAGACACTGGGTATTCTATCCAAAGCTTTAACCTAAAATAAAAACAAAACCAAAAATAAACCCCTAGAAAATATGATCTCTCAGTACAGTTGTTTCTTGGGATACACAGGCAATTCGTTTCAGTACCCCCTACATGTACCAACACTTGCTCGTACTCCAGCCCTGACGTTGTCTCTGCTGGGTCTGCATATAGGAAAAGTCTGCCGTTCATATACGCAAGTCTTGTTTCTCACAAATGCTATAGTTTTGATCCCCGTTTGTTTGGAAAAAGTGTGCATATAAGAGACCCCTGGAATTCAAGGCTGCATTGCTCCAGGGTTGCCTGGATTTTGAGTTTATTTGGGAGTGAGAAGCAAGGATTACAATATGGAGTGCATGGCATGGCAAGCCACAGTGTGTCCAGAGAGGGAAGTGTGATGTTGTGATATATGCTGGTTTTCACCCGCAGTTCCTGGCTTGTAACTCCCATAGCCCTTGTTATAGTCTTTTGTTATAACATTGGCTGTGCTGGGCCTCAGGGGAGGCCTCTGACCTCCTCCTGCCCTTCCTTCACCTAACCCAAAGTAAGACTCGAATGTTCCCTGCCTTTCTGATAGTGGATCTTAAGACCCTCCCAGAAGACAGTCTCACCCTGTTCCTTGTGGGAGGAAATGCTGATGTCATGAAGCTTTCATAAAAGCCCCAGAGGACTGGGTTTCATGAGTTTCTGGGTGGCTGAGCATGCTAAGGCTCCTGGAGGGCGACGCCCAGGGAGGGTATGGAAGCCCCGGGCCTCTTCCCCCATGCCTCCTCCTATGAGTTTCTTCATCTGTGTCCTCTGCAGTGTGCTTTGTATTCAACCAGGAAATGTCAGTGTTTCCTGAGTTCTGTGAGCTGCTACAGCAAATTAATCAAACCCAAAGAGTGGGGCATGGGATCCCCAACTTGAAGCCAGTCAGTCAGAAGTTCTGGAGGTCTGGACTTGGGAATGGTGTTGGGGGCAGTTTTGGGGAATGGGCCTTCAATCTGTGGGATCCGGGACTGTCTCTGGGTAGACAGCACCAGAGCTGACTTAGAGGACACCCAGCTGCTGTTCGCTACTGCGTCTGGGGAAAAAAACCCCATACATCTGGTCCTAGAAGTCTTTTTCTGTGTTGATGATTCCTGTGACGTGAGAGTAGAGGAAAAGCACCGTAGAGAGAGCTCTCTGTACATAGAGAGGTAAAGGAAGTTCTTATCAGCAACAAGGGAGAGCCTGACAGAGCTGCCTGGAAACAGAGTTCCCTGGTTCCACAGGTTCAAAGCCAGAGTTGCTGTCAGTCCATTGGAGGAGATGCTGTTGCTGGTCAATGGTTCTCTTGAGAGCATCTTATCTGAATTCCTGACGTCCTAAAGAACATCTAGTGATAAACCTTGTCAAAGCAGAAGGGGCTGAAGGACATGGAAGAGTTTCTTATGGGTTTTTTAAAAGTCCTTAGAAACAGTTCTTATCTGAGACGTGGAAGCATGGGCCTCCTCTCCTTCAGGCCTTCCTGGCCCTGTGGGGTCTGAGTTTGACCAAAGTCATCTCATCCTTGCACCTGTAACTTTTCTATTGGGAGTCTGCAGTGAAGGGATGGGGTTACGAAGTTTAACCTGAGAGTTTCAGGAATTTGGTTCAGGGGAGGGCTTGTTTCTACACTTTTAGCAAAAGGGTTAATTTTTCAGTGTTTTCTAGAAACAACCTAAAGTGCTTTATCAGTACTTGGGGATGCTCAAGACCTCAGCTTGGGTTCCAGCCTGCAGGTGGAAACATGCATCTGTCCAACCCACAGAACAGTCATGGCCCTTTGTCTCACTCTCAGAACAAGGAAAAAAGTGGAGGAAACTGTGGGACCTTAGAGACTGTGACTCCCCCTCTTCTGTGTTTGTGGACAGACCCTGGGATGACTCAGTGACCCGGGCTACACTCAGCACTGAGCCACCTTCCCGGGTGTGCATGACACAGATGCGCTTTATCATTGTTGGACCGGGCATCTCTGACCCTGGAGTGTGAGGCTCACATGGACCCCGCCATGCCGGGCATAACACAGAGGTGATTCTAAGCTTGGGAGCATGGACACCGCAGGGCAGGAGCGGCTACAGCAATGCCCTCATCAGCTTTCCTTCCTGAGTCAGCCTGGGGAGAAACCCTATATGGAAGATCAGGTGTGTGGGAGAAAAACCCACCCCAGAGGAATAAAAATCAAAGAGTCCGTTAGAGAAAAAACAGGCAATTGTAGAAATGAATTAGGAAGCTATTGTGATGTGAAAATAGTAAATTATATTAACACATTTAGAAATAATTTCATCCAGAACAAGACACAGCTGAAATGATAAACATTGTATTGGTGTAGAATATTTACTAAAATTTTTCATTAGTCATCAGAGAAAAACTAGAAATGAAAAAAATAGAAAAGATAATTAATGCACACAAGAAATGGAATGAAAAGAGGAAACAGATATCTCTCTTTGGATCACACTTTCAGAATGAAGGAAATAAGGAGTATGTTATTCAGTAAATACTTGCAAAGAAAATGGTTGACATTTTTATAGAAATGAAGAAAGAACATGAGTTTAACGTGAACAAATTCATAAATAACATCAATGTCTTAACTATGATAGAGTAAAAGATACCTAGAATAGATACAAAGTAATTTTAAAACTACTGGAGAAAATGAAAATTATTGTCCAATGAAAGACAAGCACATTGGGACTGGATTTCCCAAGAGTAAAAAGTGCAAGAAAATGACTGGGGGCTGAGGTTCAAGTTGGCTGAATGGAAAGGGCTGGAGTCTGCCTACTCACTAAGAGGACCCAAAATAGCGAGTAAATACCAACAGGTCAAGTGGATCTTCCAAGAGGATGCTGGGGTTCACCTGAGAAACATGAGGACATGGAGAGAAGAGAAGAGAAAAGGTGGGAGCCAGGAGAGGCTCCTAACACGGGGAAGGGGTGAGTGAGTGAGAGATTCACCAACACGGGGAAGGGGTGAGTGAGTGAGAGATTCCCCAACACGGGGAAGGGGTGAGTGAGTGAGAGGATCCCTAACACGGGGAAGGTGTGAGTGAGTGAGAGGATCCCTAACACGGGGAAGGGGTGAATGAGTGAGAGCCTCCCTAACACAGGGAAGGGGTGAGTGAGTGAGGGGTCCCTGGCATCTACACCTCTGCTGTGGGCCCTTAGGATCCTGCCCACAGGAGAGCGCCTGTCCCCTCTGGGCCTCCAGAGGCCCACAGTTTGCTCCTGGAGACTGTACCAAGGCCCCACTGGAGCCCACGTGGAATCCCACAGGCTTCTGATCCCTGAGCAGCCTGGGTCCAGCTGCCACTGCCTTAGCAGGGAGGGAGGAGGCCAGGCACCTCTGTGGGCCCCAGAATAAGTATGACAGCTGGGGCACAGGAGCAGCCAAGCTGAGCACCACACAGCTGCCCACCTCTGTTGCTTCCTGCGAAATGGGGCTTCCTTCCTGCTAATGGGGCTTGCCAGCTGCAGGGCCCCAGTCACCCGTCCTGCCCCCACCCGAACACCGTGGCCCTGGCTCGGTGCCCTCTGAAAGCCCAATGCTCAGAGGCCCCTGACAAGCCCTTTGCAGTCACTGCCACCTCTGCCTCTGCCCCTGCTGCCCCAGGCCCAGGGAGGGTGTGGGGAGGCCTGGCACTTTCACGTGTCCCCAGAGCAAAACCGAGTGACACTTCTTCAGGAGGGAAGTGTGAGCGGGCCCTGTGCCTCACAGCTGCCAGTCTCCAGTGCCCCAGCCGAGGGGCGCTGCCCTCCCTAGTGACAGGCCCACAGCACAGCCACCCTGCCCCCACCTGGACATTTCAGCTGCAGCCCCCAGCCCTTCTGAGAGCCCAGTCCCCACAGGCCTGTGATCTGCCGCAGGCTCTACCACCTGAGCCTTCTGCCTGCCCCGCCTGAAGGTTCTGCCGGTGACCTGGGGACCAGCCCATCCCTCCCCATCACAGCCAGCATCTGAACCCCGGAGCAGCCGAAACCCAGTCCAGCCCCTTCAGGACTCACACACGCTGTCCAGCCGGCCACCTAGGGGCCTGTGATCCGGGAACTACCTGCCCTTTCCTACCTGCTGGCACCTGACCACTCACCCCAGGGCCTGAGGTCGGGCCCACCCAGCCAGCAACACCACCACAACTGACGTCCACTCTCCCATCCAGAGAGGCAGAAGCCCCACATCCCACCTACATGAAGCAGCTACCGCGTCAGACAACAGACAGCCGCTCAGGGTCTGCACTGGGCTGAGGGAGGAGGCTCTGCCTTGGAACCACGCCTGCAGAGAGTGGCAAGGCAGGTGTTTCCCACTGCCCTCAGCCACACTGTGGCCTGGGGAGAGACAAGAGTGTGTGTCTGAACTGAGACTCATGAGCCCTGGAGCACGGGTGTGATAGGGAGACAGACAACGTTCCTCCCTATGGGACTGGAAACGGTGTAGCTCCTTCACTCCCCGCAGAGACCTCAGGGCATTTCACTAGGAGCTGCTCCAGCCATGTCCATCAGGACTAGTGCCTGCACTCATCACTGGGATATCTGTGGGCAAGCCGGGGGTTCCAGCTCTGCCCAGGGGTGTTCCCTCGCCCCTGTGGAACAGGAAGCTCAGGGCACCTGACACTCCACGGTCCAGCCCTTCCCCTGAAACAAGAGTCAGCACCTCACAGGAAACACACCAGGTCCACATCCACCTGCTTGTGCCGAGCGTGGCTCTTACCCTTAAGCACCAGCTCCTGGCCTGCAATCTGAGCTGCACAGCCCAATGCAAACCCTGCTGCAGAAGCTCCCAAAGCCATGGGAAAAGCCAAAAGACCCTTCCCAACATGCTCTACAGTCACCCTCCCTGCGGGGCTGGGGGAAAATGTGCAAAAGAAATCCCATCCAAACGAAAATAAATTCGAAGAGAGTAAGTGGAGGCCTCTCCAGATGAGAAGGAATCAGTGTAAGGATTCTGACGCCGTGAAAAATCTGAATATTGTGGCACCACCAAAGGATCGCACTGGCTCGCTAGTGATGGATGCTGAAAACAATGGAAACTCTGAAAGGACAGATAAAGAATGAGACTGACACAAAAACATTACAAAGAATCAATGAAAGAAAACGTTGGTTTTTTGAAAGTATAAATAAAATTGAGAGATGGCTGACTACACTAACCAAAAAAAGGAGATTTAAATAAGCACAATCAGAAATGATAAAGTTGACATTACAACCAACACCACAGAGATACAAAAGATCATCAGAGACTACTATGAACACCTTTATGCACATAAACTAGAAAACCTGGAGAAAATAGATGAATTCCTAGACACACACAACTTCCCAAGATTGCACAGGCAAAAAATAGAAACTCTAAACAGACCGATAACAACCAATGAAAAAGGATCAGTACTAAAAATCTTCCAGCAAAAAAGTCCAGGAACAGATGGATTCGCAGTTGAACTTAGCTGTATGTACGAAGGAGGGCTGGTACCAATCATACTGAAAGTATTCCAAAAATCAAGGAAGTGGGATTCTTTGCCAGCTCATTTTACAAAATCAGTATCATCCTGATAGCAAAATCAGACAAGGATCCAACAGAAAAATAAAACTACAGGCCAAGAAATCTGAGGAACACAGATGCAAAAATCCTCAAGAAAATACTAGCAAACGGAATCTAACAGTGTATCAAAAACATAATTCATCATGATCAAGTTGGCTTGATTCCAGGGAAGAAAGGATGGTTCAATATATGCAAGTCAATAAAAGTGACTCATGACATGAACTAAGAACAAAAAGCATATGATCATCTCTATAGATGCAGATAAAGCTTTCAAGAAAGTCCAACATCGCTTCGTGATAAAATCCCTCAACAGGCTAGGCATGAAAGAAACATACCGCAAAATACCAACACCCCCTGCGTGACAAACCCACAGCCAACATCAAATTGAATGGGGAGAAGTGAAAACATTTTCCCAGGAAAATGAGAATGGGATCCTCCCTAGCCCCTGGGGTCTCCTACTGGACCAGGGCCTATCTGTGGGGCAGGGTCCCTCTCATGCTAGAATCTCCCGTTCCCCTCGTCAAATCTCAGTGAAGTGGACCATGGCCATGGGAGTGACAGTCATGGCACAGAGAGGCAGGGCTCTCCTGTAGCAGGACGAGCCGCAGACAAAACTCCTCAGACACCGGATTAAAGAAGGAAGAGGTTTTTATTCAGCTGGGAGCGTGGGCAGACTCGCGTCTTAAGAGCCGAACTCCCCGAAAAAGAAATTCTTGGCCTTTTTAAAGGCTTATAACTTTAAGGGGTCCACGTGAAAGGGTCGTGATACATCAAGCAAGCGTGGGAAACATGACTGTGGGGGGCTATATGCATCAGCTAACAGAACAAAAAGTTTTACAGTGCTTTTTTCATGCAGTGTCTGGAATTTACAGATAACACCAGTAGTTTAGGTCAGGGGTTGATGTTATTATTATTACTTTTTTTAACTCCTACGGCCGGGTGGTGGTGCCAAGGTTGTCTGGCTATTTATCTTACTTTTGTATTTTTCCAACTTTTGGCTTTTTCTCTCTTCCTGTTTTGTGAACTAGGCAAGGTGGGGGGAGGAGGGCAGCAGGAGTAGTAGTGGTCTCCTTCCTTACTCCCACTTACAGGATTTTCCCACCAGCATCTCCATGGGTGGTGAGCTGTCCCGGACCCCGCTGGCTCATGTTTTCCCAGGACTTGGCCTTTCTCGAATGCTTTATCTGCATCGGTTGAGATGATCACATGCTTTTTGTTCTTAGTTTATGTCGTGAGTCACCTTTATTGACTTGCATATATTGAACCATCCTTTGAGACAGGCACCAGGCTTTCTGCTGATATTTCAGACACGCATGGCATCTCTCCTGATCTCCTTTCACTGTCTGCCTGACATGTCCTCGTCTCATTGAGGGCCGGGACGTAGCTGCAAATGGACGTGGTGCCTTCCTGAGTTGGTCCCTTCCAGGTGAAGGCAACGGAGGGTTCTTCCTTCCTCTCAGAGACTCCTCATGGGGTTTCACTCTCTCCTTCAGCTCACCCATAAACACACCCTTGTGGGGAACCTACCATGGCCAGTCTTCTCACCAGTCCTGGGGAAGCTTCAGGGAAGATGCAAATTCAGGCTGCGGGGCAGACTCACATCAGCAGAGACTCGTCTCACATCTTGCTGTGCAGTTCCAGTTGAGCTTTATTGTGGCGATGAACAGAAAGGGGAAATACAGGGAGACAAGGGAAGGAATCATGTCTCTTTTCCCAGAACTGGAGTGTGGGTTTTCTTTATGCAAAAACGTTCCCTTCACGAACTTCTCATTCACTCATCGCAACAGCGTCCGCCCCCGTCTCCCTGGAAACAACATTGACCTGACTCTGCCTTCTTGGTGCCCCCGTCTTCTTTCAAACACTCCTGTTCCCATCCTGTGCTCCTGAGTTCAAGGTTCTGGGACAATACGTGGGGTTAGCACTCTGCTTTGAGGGAAAATCTTGTCTTTATTTAAATATTCATGTGTCACCCCCTGCCTGTGTGACCTTGGGCAGTAACCTCCCATTTCTGAGCCTCGGTTTCCTCATTTGGAGCCTGTGATGAACCCCATTTATCACAGGGGAGCTGGGTCATTGGAGCCTGGGGACTGCAGGGGGCTCAGCCATGGGTAATTTCCAGAGCAGGTGAAGACAGGAGGGGTGGGGGCATGAGGGGATGCTGGCGCCCACCATCAAGGCCTGAGATTGATGTTTCCACTAAGGAGAGCCCCTTTGTTCCTGCCCTTGAGAGATGCTTCTCATAATATTTCATCAACACCCCGGTTATCACAGTCATGTCCAGAAAATGAGAAATGAAAGCTTGTCAGAAGGAGAAGCGCCTGCATTAAAGAGAAAATTAAAACTGACAGAGCATTTGTGTCTGGTGCCATTGGGGTCTTCAGGGAGGAAGTAATTAAGTCACTAGTGTGCATACATTTAAGCATGAAATGCAAATCTTTTTTTTTTTTTTTTTCGAGACAGAGTCTCACTCTGTCGCCCAGGCTGGAGTGCAGTGGCACAATCTCAGCTCACCGCAACCTCCACCTCCCGGGTTCAAACGATTCTCCTGTCTCAGCCTCCCGAGTAGCTGGCACTACAAGCACGCACCACCACACCCGGCTAATTTTTGTATTTTTAGTAAAGATGGGGCTTCACCATGTTGGCCAGGCTGGTCTCAAACTCCTGCCCTCACCTGATCCGCCTGCCTCCGCCTCCCAAAGTGCTGGGATTACAGGGGTGGGCCACCGCGCCTGGCCAAAATGCAAATCTTGACCTCTCATGATAAACTGAAAAATAGGAGTAAATTAAAAAATACATATGCTAGACTGAATTATGTAATTTAAAATGCATTTTTGTGTTTTGTGATTTTCAACTCAACATGTCAATAGCATTGCTTCTCAGTGGGACTGGACTTCCCGATAGTAAAAAGATAAGGGAAGGAGATGCTAAGAGAGTACTCTCAGGGGACTAACTGCAAGTGAGGAATTCTATACTTACTCAGGTTAATACCTGAAAGGTAAAGGGGTCAGCAGGGGACCAATTCCTAAACAGAAGAAGGCTCAGGGCAAGACGGACCTGTGAAGCTGTCTGGTTGGGCTTCCCCTTCGTGAGGGCTGAGGAGGGATTGGAGGGTGGATCTCTCAAATCATCAGATGTGCTTTCTCTTCCAGGTGTTATACTTACCCTTTAACTAATACAGAAATGTTTTCATCTATTTTGATAGAGAGAGTGGGAGGAAAAAGAAGGCATTTTCTGAGCTGCAAGTTACTAGATATTACTGTTTTCATGCTCAGTGAAGGCAATTTTAAATGATATCATCCAGTTGGAAGATCAATGAATCCGGCCGGGCGCGGTGGCTCACGCCTGTAATCCCAGCACTTTGGGAGGCCGAGGAGGGCGGATCACGAGGTCAGGAGATCGAGACCATCCTGGCTAACACGGTGAAACCCCCGTCTCTACTAAAAATACAAAAAAATTAGCTGGGCGTGGTGGTGGGCGCCTATAGTCCCAGCTACTCGGGAGGCTGAGGCAGGAGAATGGTGTGAACCTGGGAGGCGGAGCTTGCAGTGAGCGCAGATTGTGCCACTGCACTCCAGCCTGGGCGACAGAGCAAGACTCCGTCTCAAAAAAAAAAAAAAAAAAGAATCAATGAATCCAAAATGTAGAATATGAGATGCCACAGTGATGTAAGTGAGAAACAGGCAAGTATTTGAAAATCACACACAGACATGCCCACATGAATGCAACCACACACGGGCACACATGTATGAGTCAGTGTGCATGTACACATGTGAGTACTCAGAGTTCAGCTACAGTGGAATTAGAACGTGTCTTCTCTAAAGGCAAGGATAAATGAATCCTCATTCGAAAATATATAATTGAGTGAATACTTAACTAAATAGGTGAAGTTATTCCAAATTTTTCTTTTTTTTTAATCCTGTATGTAAAAGAGTAATTCATCCACTGAAGGATAAGTTAAATAGCCCAGTACCCCAATCACACCTAGGCATGAAACACAATAGTACCATCTAAAATGAAATGATAATTTACAATCAGTAAGTGAAGAAAGGTATACTAGTAAAATATCTATTGGAAATATTAATATTCAACAAAATGTAACATAATCCAAAAAGTTTTAGAAATAAAAACTAAAATTTTGTGTTTTAATGAAGTTGTAAGGGCTGGGCATGAAGGGATTTGCAGGCTGAGCGGGGAGGATCACTTGAGCCCAGGAGTTCAAGACCAGCCAGGGCAAATAGTGAGACTCATCTTTATTTATTTTTTTAAAAAAAGAAGGTATTAAAGATGACTGGGAAAAATCACTGTATGAAAAACCGAGGAAGAAGGAATTAGGGCTCCCGAATGGGGTGAAGACCCACATGCAGAATGTCTCTGAGCCCTGAGAGTGGAGCAGTGTGTTCAGGATCCTGAGCCTGTGGAACCAACATTCTCTGAGATGTGAGTCTATGGAATGTGTGTTATAAGACCTGCCTTTTGTTAGTATAATCCAGCAAAAGCCCATGGGCGAGGACCCAGTTTTATTTTAGGGAATGTGGGGACAGTATATTTTCTATTTGTGTTTATGCAAATTTCATATTGCTGATCAGTCATGCAGAAGGCGGAGGTCAGTGTGTTCACAGGATTCGTACCCGAGAGTCTGGAGACACATGTGGGGGTCCATGGGAAAGGCTGGTGGCCGGGTATGGTGGGAAGGTAATCAGCGACAGATGCCAGAGTCTCCTGCTTGATCTTGCCGAAATCTGGCTCAAATGTTTGGCCTGGCACAACCAAACTAGAACTTGGAAGACGCTGTATAGGTAAAACATAATATTGTAATCATTCATATTCTGTTAAGGCTTTGAAAATGTCCTTAATAAGATTTCTTTATCCTGGAAGGTAGATGGCAAATGATAACATTTCTTTATTCTAGAGGGTAGATGGCAAACGATAAGATTTCTTTATTCTAGAGGTTAGATGGTGAATGATATGATTTCTTTATTCTAGAGGGTAGATGGTGAATGATAACATTTCTCTATTCTAGAGGGTAGATGGTGAATGATAAGATGTCTTTATTCTAGAGGGTAGCTGGCGAACGATAAGATTTCTTTACTCTAGAGGGTAGACGGCAAATGATAAGATTTGTTTACTCTAGAGGGTAGATGGTGAATGATAACATTTCTTTATTCTAGAGAGTAGATTGTGAATATTTGGTCCTTCATGTTTTCTCAGGATCCTCCCTCCAAACATTCTATCCTATACAGCAAAGCTTTACATCCTTCAAACACAACAGTCGTCTTGGACCTAGATATGTTGAACTCTTTAATGCTAGGACTCAAGTCCTCTTGCTGTTTGGGACAATTCAGAAAAGAATCAGCCCCAGTCATTTTGCATACTTCTGTCTGACTGTCATAGGTGAGTAGAAAGAAACAGCTCAACTGCTTGACAAGATTCATCGACCTGAGGTCTTGTCTGCAGCTGGATTTCTATCCTACTTCCGTGATTTTCCTTTCGTGGATCACCAACACACTGCAAATGCCTATCATTGCTTTTGACGTGGTGTACTTTGGTTCTGCCTGGAAAGGCAGGAAGTCTCGAAGTGAGGAGCTCACAGGTCAAAGGAGATTGAAATGTTTTCAGACAGAATAGGCAAATCCGTAGAGACAGAAAGCACACTTGTGGTTAGCAGGTGCTGGAGGGAAGAGGGAATGGGGAGTGGCTGCTGAATGGGTGTAGGATGATGACAATGTGTGGAACAGGATGGCAGTGATGGTTACACAGTGATCTGAGGAGAAGATACACAGGTAGCATCTGAGAAGGAGGGAAGGGCTTGTAGGGTTTGGAGAGGGTGTCAGGGCATCAGGGTGGATTTATCTTTTCCTGGTTGAAATCTGATACTCTCCCATTGATTTAGTTACTGAAGCACGTTTGGAACTCTGAACTGAAGAGATGGAGGCTCAATAAAGCACACCAGGGAGTATGGCAATGAGGAATAAAGAAGACTGTGTTACACACCATGGACCAGAGCACACAGATGTGCAGAGGTGTGGATCCAGCCCTGCCATGTGGGATGTAGCCTCATGTCTAGGGGTGGGAAAAGAAGGGGATCCAACCAAGGGAAGTCAACATTAATAGAGAGGAAAGGTATCACATGTTAATGGTCCTCCATGGATCACCCTGCAAAATATCTCTGCAATCCAACACTGATTCCTCCTTCTAGAAATTATCAGCAGACAGTCCAGATAGCATTGGCCCTAAATTGTCTCCCGGAACCTCCTGGGATCACCATATCTATTCCCAAGGTTCCACCACTCTGAGAGATGCATTGTCCTCTCTGCTGTTCACCTCCTAGCTGCATCTTAGGGGCTTCTCTGGCTGTGCTGAGCCTCAAATAACAGAATCCTGAGGACCACCAGGATCAAGCCAGCCTTGCCCATGTGGATGAGATTCTCCACTGTGTAATCCTGGGGGTGTGAGGTTGGGGATGGTGGGCAAAGAGACCACAGAGGTCAGGGCAGATCAACATCACCCAGGACCTCTGGATGTCCACCCAGGGCACCCACCTCCCCTTCACAGGACCTGACCCTCTGTGCCAGCCCCATAACTGAAAGCATCTCCTCACGCACCAGTCTTGGGGTCTGAATTGTTTTGTGATGGGCTGAGGGTATCAGCTGCTCCTGAGAATCAAAGCAAAGGAGAAGTACCCTGAGCCAGCCTCTCCCATGGGCTCGGCATTCTTATCTTCCCCTGTCTCCTGACATGAGTTCTAAGGAGTTCCTTAGTAAACTCTTCCTCTGTAGCAGTGTTCGTTCCGTTCTTCTTAATGAATTATTTCAGCTTTCCTGCTTTCTACAAATCCAAATGTTGCTCTTGAGTCATTTGGGGGAGAGTTTTCCTTCACCCTGAGGGCTCAGGATCTGCAAGGAAAGTGGTCCCCAGTACAGAGGTCACTGAGCCCTGTGTGCTGTCTGTGCAGCCTGGGACACGGGAGCACATGAGCCAATTCCCCCGGAGATGAGAGTTTCACGGATCCACCAGCTGAGGACCCAGGCTCCCTGGATGAGGGGTTGGTCCTCAGGGGCTCCCGAATGTCAGAAGCACAAAGCGGTGAAAGTCTGGGGCTGCCTCCCCTTCACCTGGGTTTTCATTGTCCAATTAATCTAATTAACTAATTCTTCATATAATCAGGAAAACCTAGAATGATGTGATACCTTCCCCCCGGCCCCCATCCAAAAATATCTGTCTGCTAAATAGTGGTGCTATTAGAGGTTCATAAATCAGTATTTCTGCT
Source organism: Homo sapiens (assembly GCF_000001405.40). Lineage (NCBI taxonomy): Eukaryota > Metazoa > Chordata > Mammalia > Primates > Hominidae > Homo > Homo sapiens. The sequence continues at coordinate 269,600 of NW_003571055.2, forward strand.
TTTACAAAGTGTGAATCTAGGTGAATCTAGACCAGTAACAAACATGTAAACTCCTACCACATCAAATGTCTTATTTATTTATTTATTATTTTTATTATTTATTTATTTATTTATTGAGGCAGAGTCTTGCTCTGTTGCTCAGGCTGGAGTGCAGTGGTGTGATCTCGGCTCACTGCAAGCTCCGTCTCCTGGGTTCAAGCAATTCTCCTGCCCCAGCATCCCGAGTAGCTGGGATTACAGGTGCACGCCACCACGCCCAGCTACTTTTTTTGTATCTTTAGTAGAGATGGCGGTTTCACCATGTTGGCCAGGCTGGTGTCGAACTCCTGACCTCATGATCCTCCCACCTCGGCCTCCCAAAGTGCTGAGATTGTAGGCATGAGCCACTGTGCCCGGCCTATTTTTATTTTTATTGAGATGGAGTCTCACTCTGTCGCACAGGTTGGAGTGCAGTGGCACTATCTCGGTTCATTGCAACCTCTGCCGCCCGGGTTCAAGTGATTCTTGTGCTTCAGCCTCCCTAGTATCTGGGACTACAGGGCCGCACCACCATGCCTGGCTAATTTTTTTTTGTATTTTTAGTAGAGATGGGCTTTTACCATGTTGGCCAGGCTGGTATCAAACTCCTGACCTCAGGTGATCTGCCCGCCTTGGCCTCCCAAAGTGCTGGGATTACAGGCATGAGTCACTGCGCCTGGCCATCAAATATATTAAGAATATGGATATATTTATCAAGTGAACTTGGAAATACTTACACACATATTCAAATGTAACTTATATAACCACACATAAATATGTATAGATGTAAAACTTTAGATATTTAAGATGTAGTTACATACATATTGATATTTGAAGTGAGAATATTGGCAAGCAATATAGAAATAAGTAAAATCTCCATTGTCTCATGGTTTGTATACATTTCATCAGGAAATTAGAGGAGATCCATAGAAAAGCAATTAGAATGGGGTAATTTGGTAGTGAGTTAGCATGAAATACAATGAATATACTCAAACGAGTAGCTTTCTCATGGATAATTATCTTTTATTTTTAAAATATGAAAGAATAAAGTACTTCACATATACATTGTTAAAGGTGTTGAATAATTCTTCAAGTTGGAATGAATATAATTCTTCAAATGTCCACCCAGGACACCCAGCTCCTCTTGACAGGACCTGACCCTCTGTGCCCAGCGTCATCACGGCAAGCATCTCCTCACTCACCAGCCTTGGAGTCGGACTTGTTTTGTGGTGGGCTGAGGGTCTCAGCTGCTCCTGAGAATCAAAACAGAGGAGAAGAGACATATTCAGAGGTAACTCATATGACAAATTATTCAACACCTTTGACAACTTATAAGTGAAGTATTTGATTCCTTTATATTTTTTAAACAAAAGATAAGTACCCATGAGAAAGCTACTGGTTTGGGTATATTCATTGTATTTCATATTAACTTATTACCAAATTGCCCTCTTCTGATTTAAATTTAAATTAACAATTTTAAAGCATCTCTTTTTCCTATAAAAGAGGTTTAGTTAGATGTTAGAATTATCCAGTGATTGGACAACATTGGACATGAACCCCCCAGGCCCAGAGCTGGGCTGCACTGTAGCCCCCGCTGACCTCCCCCGGGTTTCCCATGCCACAGGGAGCCGCCCAGTCAGTTTCCCTCAGGCCACTGTGCTTTAAAACATCCAAACACAGCCGGGCGCGGTGGCTCACGCCTATAATCTCAGCACTTTGGGAGGCTGAGGCGGGCACATCACAAGGTCAGGAGATCGAGACCATCATGGTTAACACAGTGAAACCCTGTCTCTACTAAAAATATAAAAAATTAGCTGGGCGTGGTGGTGGGCGCCTGTAGTCCCAGCTACTTGGGAGGCTGAGGCAGGAGAATGGCGTGAACCTGGGAGACGGAGGTTGCAGTGAGCCGAGATCGTGCCACTGCACTCCAGCCTGGGAGACAGAGCGAGACTCCGTCTCAAAAAAAAACAAAAAAAAAGAAAGACAGCAGATTCTAAAACAGTGGGGCTTTGTAAACCTTTGTTGTTTCAAAATACTGTGGCTTTGTCTTACTAAGCTGAGGTTCCAGGAGGGATGAGTGAAACTGCATGCACCCGCTCCCATCTCTGTTGGCTTTTTAACCCTTACAAGTCTCAGTTATTTGGAGAATCAGGACAGGGCCAGAGATGGCTGGAGATGAGAGCAGGTCTAGGATTGAGCCACATCCCAGATGCCCCAGAAGGTCAGAAATGAAGGGGCTTTGGGGCGGTCACATCCAGGCAGCTCCCCCTTATTCAGATGGGGAGTCCAGGGTGCAAGGGGAACGGTCTCTTTCAGAAGTTCCACCTCCCAAGGAGAGGCTGAACCACCACAGACCCAGCCCCACCTCCCCGGGCTCCTCCCACCTGACTCCTAGACCAAGTACCTGACTGTGATCTCCCCTGACCCTGGCTCTCCAATGAGAGGTGACGGCTCCTGGGAATCCTGCTGAGGGAGGGGGAAAGACCCCGCTGCTCCACTCATCAATGCTGAATCTTAGACACCTCCCTCCCCTCTGAACACTACGGAGGGAACACCTGCCCCATCCCTGGAGCCCCAGGGAGCCACGCAGACCACACCCTTACTGTCCACCCTCCCCTCTGCTTCCCTGGAAATCAGACCCTGAATATTGGAGGTAGCATTGAGATGAGTCTAGAAAATTCTCTTGAGCTGGGAGTGGCTGTTTTTTTTTGTGACCCATGGGGTCAGGACTTAGAGGTTGGGACCCAGAGGCTCAGATTCTGAGGTGGAGACATCAGGAGGGGAGCGGGTGGGGCCTCCGTCTTCCACTCTCAGTCTAATCTCCTCTCCTCTGAGGTTCACCCCCCGGCCCCGCCATCTCCTCCCAGCCCTCCCTGCTCTTTACTCTACTGGGACTTCAGGGGTGGGAGCCAGGGGTGAGAGGTCCCTGTCGATTTCCACCCTCTCATGGTCTGGACCCTCCCCTGCAGACCCTCCCCCTTCACTCCCCTCATTCATTATTGTCCCAGAGCTCTGCTGGGGGCAGGGCCTGAGCTGAGCCTTTGAGCTCAGAGAGGACGGGGTCAGGGCCCTCACCTGAGACCACGAGCTCCAGGGGGTCACTGGGGTGAGTCAGCAGGTAGGGGTTGGAGCTGAGTGAGCCGTAGCACCTGTAGGTCCCCGCGTGGGCCGAGGTCACAGGACTCATGGGGAATTCAGCCTGGTACTTATGAGATTGGCGCTTTGATTTTAGACGCAGCGGGGAATCAGCTGCCCCCTCCTTGGTCAAAAGGAAAGTGTGCATCCCTCCCTGTGACTGACACAGCAGGGTCACGTTCTCTCCTGAGGCCACTGTGGGGCCCGGCCGCACGGAGAGGAAGGGTCTGGCACGGATCTGTCCTGGAGAGAAGAAGGATGGGTGAGGGGCTGCCCCACCTTGCTCTGAGCTGAGACCTCCCCAGGCCTCTCCCTGGGACCCTCAGTCTCTCTGTCTCTGTTTTCTCTGAGTCTCCCCTCCCCGCCCACCCCTGTCACTGTCTGTCTCTCCCTCCCTTAGGACCCCCACCCCTCATCCCGGCCATCACCACCTGGGCTCCCCCAGCAGGGCCTTTGCGGAGCCTGGGTCCCTGACTGAACCCGCTGGGCTCCTCACCTGTGATCAGGATGTCCAGGGGGTCGCTGGGGGCCGACCACTCGGAGGAGAGGTTGTATGCACCGGAGCATGTGTACTGGCCCCCGTAGGAGCGGCTCACAGGGCCCAGGGTGAAGTTGGCCTGGGAGAGCCCAGCCTGGGGCTGCCGGCCAGGGCGCTGGAGGAAGTCACGTCCCCACTCCTTGTACAGAACAAATCTGTCGTAGCCGGCATCAGAGCCACACTGGAAGGTCAGCTTCTCCCCAGGGGCCACGACAGGACCCGGCTGCACTGAGAGTGATGGCTTCTTAGAAACACCTGGGAAAAGGTGCTCATGGTTTCCAGGAGCCGACCCTCAGGCTTCCCCACAAACTTTCCCTCTCCCCCGGGGCCTCACCACTGCTGATCTTCCTGTGTCTCTGGCCCCAGGAGCCCTGAGCCCTCTCGCCCCAACATCATCCCACCTGGAGCTGCCCTGAGACGCGGCTCCTCCCCACCTGCCTGGAGACTCAGGGAGACTCAGGGAACCCCAGGCAATGCTGTGAATTTCTCACCTGGGACCAGGAGCCCCAGGAGATCACTGGGTAGAGACCACACATAGGGAGCGCGCGAGTCATAACCATAGCACCTGTACGACCACCTGCGACTTGGGCTCACGGGGCCCACGGAGAAGATGGCCCGGGATGACCCACGGGCATGGGAATGGGAGTTCAGGCATTGTGGGTGTTCATCTTCTCCTTCCTTACACAGAATGAAGCCATCAAATGCCACCTGTGAGTCACACTGGATGGTCACATTCCCTCCTGAGGTCACCACAGGGCTGGGCAGAGCTGAGAGGGTGGGTTTGCTGTAGGCTCCTAGGAGAGAAGGAGGCACCGTGTTAAATGGGGCTCAGACCTCCCGCGTCATCCCCAGGGCTGGGCTGTGAGAGGGAGAAGCCCCTGAGAGCTGACCCCCTTCCTGAGGGCGGAGCCTGGGGCTGGGATCCCTGAGTGTCAGCTCACCTGTCACCACCAGCTCCAGGGGGTCACTGCTCTCTGAGAGGCCTGCAGTGTGGCTGCCATAGATACAGCAATACCGCCCTGCATGTTCCCAGGTGATGGATAGGATGGGGAACTGGCCCTTCTTCACAAGCTCCTGTGGGATCCGTGTAATCCAGAGTGCTGTTTTCTTTTCTCTATATAGATGGTACTCCTGCGTCTCCAGGCTCCCCTGACACCTGAGGGTCACAGGACTCCCTTGGGTGATCACAGAGCCTGGCTCAGCCCAGAGGGTGGGCTTGGGGAGGGGCCCTGGAAGGAAATCAGAGTTCAGATTCTAAGTCATTTCCCACCCAACAGATCTCAGCTCTCAGCTGCAGGACCCTCCAGACACCCCCATCAGTCAGCCCAGAACTGCTATTCCCCATCCCCAGCTGCACAGGGGTGGCCCCTTGTCCCCGGTGAGGAGGAGGGACTTGGGACAGCTAGGGACAGACTCACCTGCCTGCACGTGGGTCCTGGGGTCCAGGCTCAGCCCTGGAAGAGAGTTCCCTATGAGGAATTTGCCCCTGAAGCCTGAGCAGGTCCTCCCCTCCCTGGGATCTTTGTGAGCCCCTGGGGTCTCCTTAGGGACAAGAGTTTGGCTGTGGGGTGAGGTCCCTCCTAGGTTAGAAGCTCCCTCCCTCTTCAAATCTCACCGAGACAGATCAGGACCGTGAGGATGGGGGTCATGGCGTCTCCTCCCACTGCACTGCTCTGTGGATGGATGAGCCCTCGGTGCTGGCAGGACAGAGGACACACAGGGTGTGGACACTTGGAGGCTCGGTCCTTCTTCTCATGGGGTTTTGTCATCTGCAGCCACACAGGAAGTGGAACTGCCCTCCCAGGAGCCTGGCTGTCTTTCCTGTAGGGCTGAGGTGGGGGTGGGCCCAACTCCTCTATAGACATTTCAGACAGAAATGGGGTCTTTCCTGACCCCCAGCCACTGTCTGTCTGCCTTGTCTTCATCTCACTAAGACCTGGGATGCAGCAGGAAAAAGAACCAATGCTTTCCTGAGTCACCCCTTTCAGGTGAGGGCGACCTCCTCCCTCTCACAGCCTCCCTCAAGGTCTCCCTCCCTCCTTCAGCCCATCCATCAGTTCAGCGTTGTGGGGTCCTTACCATGGCAGTCGTCCCTCCAGCCCTGGAGATCCTTCAGGGAAGATGCAGGTCCATGCTGCAGGGTGGACTCAGATCAGCAGAGACGCACCTGACACCTGGCTGTGCAGCCCAGGCTGAGCTGTGTGTGGCAGTGAGAACAGAGGAGAAATGCAGGGAATAAAGAGAGGAAGTCATGACCCTCTTTGTGGCCCTGGACTATAGGTTTTCTTTCTAATCAATAGTAATCCCCCCCTTTTTTTTTACTTCCCCCCCCTTTTTTTTTGGCTACAGCGTCCACCCCTGACGTCCCTGGGAACAAACCTCTGAGTCTTTCCTGCCTCCTCGGTGCCCATTGCATCCTTGGCCGTCCCTCTGCACCTTAATCCCTGTTCAACGTTTTGGGAACAATGACTTATATTTGAGCTTTGATTTGGGGAGTGGGGGAGGAAGCTGATATTTATTCAGAGACTGGTTATCATTCACTGCCTACGTGACCTCGGGCGGTAATGAACCATCTCTGAGCCTCAGTTTCTTCCTTTGCAGCTTGTTGTCACAAATCCCACTGGTCACAGTGGTTGTGGGGTCAGTGGTTCCTGACACATGGGAGAGGCTCATCTGTGCTTCATTTCCAGACCAGGTCAGCACATGAAGTGTTTGGGATATGATAGGATCATAGCGTTGGATGATTGATGTGTTCTCTCAAGATCTCATATCTGGGATCCCTAATGGAGAAATGTACGTGAAGTATTTCTGAAATATGCAGAACATCAATATCATGAGCAGAAAAAGAGGCGTGGAAGTCTCCAAGTGTAGATGGATCCACATTAAATAACAGAGGCCAGAGGTGAGTCGCCACAGGTGCCTGGGACCATCAAGGGGTCATTAGGGTGGAGGTTTCCACCAAAGGTGGCCCAAAGTGATTAGACTCAACATGCCAGACCTGCCTTGGTTTACTACGGAGAAAGAGATTCAAATGTTTAGGAAGGTTAAAATGTTAGAGAGGAGTTGTCATTCAAGACGGCCTCATCTAAATTGGAAGAGTCTAGAAGATCTATCTTTCTTTTCTTTTTTTTTTTTTTTTTGAGATGCAGTCTCACTCTGTTGCCCAGGCTGGAGTGCAGTGGCACCCTCCTCCTCCTCCTCCTCCTCCACACCCTCCTCCTCCTCCTTCTTCTCCTTCTCCTTCTCCCTCTCCCTCTCCCTCTCCCTCTCCTTCACCTTCTCCTTCTCCTTCTTCTTCTTCTATTTTTTTTTTTTTTTTTTTTTTGAGACGGAGTCTCGCTCTGTCGCCCAGGCTGGAGTGCAATGGCGTGATCTCGGTTCACTGCAACCTCCGCCTCCCTGGTTCAAGCAATTCTCCTATCTCAGCCTCCCAAGTAGCTGGGATTACAGGCACCCACCATCATGCCAGGCTAATTTTTGTATTTTTAGTAGAGGTGGGGTTTCATCATGTTGACCAGGCTGGTCTCGAACTCCTAACCTCAAGTGATCCTCCTGCCTTGGCCTCCCAAAGTGCTGGGATTACATGCGTGAGCCACCATGCTTTCTTATCCAGCACTGCTAATAAAGACCACCAGAAACCATTTTCCTTGAGCAGGCACAGCCAGCAATATACATTCACTGTCCTACCTCAGGCACATACCAACTGTTTAGTTCTATCCCATAGTTTAGTTCTCACCATAATCATCATTATCATCTCCTTTCATAAAATGTTAGACTGAATCATTACATTGATAAAATTATGCTGGTTGGAATGCCCATCAATGACAGACTGGATAAAGATACTGTGGTACATATACACCATGGAATACTATGCAGCCATAAAAAGGAATGAGATCATGTCCTTTGCAGGGACATGGATGGAGCTGGAAGCCATTATCCTCAGCAAACAAACACAGGAACCAAAAACCAAACACTGCATGTTCTCATTCATAAGTGGGAGCTGAACAATGAGAACACATGGACACAGGAATGGAAACAACACACACTTGGGCCTGTTGGGGGGAAAAGGGAGGAAGAGCCTCAGGATAAATAACTAATGGGTGCCGGGTTTAATACCTAGGTGATGGGCTGATGGGTGCAACAAACCACCACAGCACACGTTTGTTTACTTATGTAACAAACCTGCAGGTCCTGCACATGTATCCCAGAACATAAAATTAAATTAAATTAGATATCAAAAATAAAAATAAAATAAAGTTAAAAAAAGAAATTATGCTATTTGGACCAGGAAAGCAAGAAGTAGCACCTATTCCAAATTTATTAGTAACACATTTGCATGACAGAGGGTGAGAAATAAATTCCACAAAAATATTGGAGCCTTCCGCCTCAACACAATTTCTGAGTCCACTGATATGGAAAATGTTGAGATGTAACTTCTAAAGCAAAAGGTAAGTTGTTGCATCTGGCCCTTCCTACAACCAAAAGAACCATGGTACCTAGTAAGCCTCTTGGGTTTTTTTTTTTTTTTTCCTGAGACAGAATTTTGCTTTTTTTGCCCAGGCTGGAGTGCAGTGGCACAATCTGGGCTCACTGCAACCGATTTCAAGCGATTCTCCTGCCTCAGCCTCTCTAGTAGCTGGGATTACAGGTGCCCGCCCTCACGCCCAGCTAATTTTTGTATTTTTAGTAGAGACAAGGTTTCACCATGTTGGTCAGGCTGGTCTCGAACTCCTGACTGCATGATCCGCCCACCTCGGCCTCCCAAAGTGCTAGGATTACAGGCGTGAGCCACCGTGCCTGGCCCTACCTCTTGGATTTTGAAAGCAACATATTTCTCATGTGGGTGTGCTCCATTAGCCCATTTACTAAGTGACTCAAAAGGAGGCCGGGTGCAGTGGCTCATGCCTGTAATCCCAGCACTTTGGGAGGCCGAGGTGGGCGGATCATGAGGTCAGGAGTTTGAGACCAGTCTGACCAACATGGCAAAACTCCGTCTCTACTAAAAATACAAAAAATTAGCCAGGCATGGTAGCGGGCGCCTGTAATCCCAGCTACTCAGGAGGCTGAGGCAGGAGAACTGCTTGAACCTGGGAGGCAGAGGTTGCAGTGAACCGAGATTGTCCCATTGCATTCCAGCCTGGACAACACTGTGAGACTCCATCTCAAAAAAAAAAAAAAAGTTTTGAGTGGGGTGTGGAATAGGGGAAGGCTCTGCAACAGATCCAGGTCCTGCACAAGCTCTTCTGCCACCTGGGCCATATGATCCAGTGGAACAGATGGTGCTTGAAGTGTCAGTGGCAGATCGAGATGCTGTTTGGAGGTTTTGACAAGCTCCTTCCTATAGGTGAATTGGGGCTTAGACACTTAGGATTGTGGAGCAAAATCCTATCATCATTCACAGATAGCTAGTCTCCTTTTGAAAAACATATATTTTTTTTTGCCGGGCACAGTGGCTCATGCCTGTAATCCCAGCACTTTGGGAGACCAAGGTGGGCAGATCACCTGAGGTCAGGAGTTCGAGACCAGCCCGGCCAACATGGTGAAACCCTGTCTCCACTAAAAATAAAAAAATTAGCCGGGCATGGTGGCACCTGCCTGTAATCCCAGCTACTTGGGAGGCTGAGGCAGGAGAGTCGCTTGAACCCAGGAGACGGAGATTGCAGTGAGCCGAGATCATGCCACTGCACTCTAGCCTGTGCAAGAAGGGTGAGACTCCATCTCAAAAAAAAAAAAAAAGGAAAATATTATATTTTTTTCCATTATTGAGCCTTAGGAGAGACTGGATGCTTGGGCACAGGTCACCAAGGTACCATGAAATGTGAAGTGTGTGTTAGCCGATGCAAGCTGTATAATAAGATCATGTCCACTCAGGCCCTGAAAGTGTGAGCAATTTACACAAAGCAGGGGGCCAAATGCCCATGGTTCCTGTCCCTGCTACACAACCTTCTGCCTTCCAGCCTGCACCTATAATCTCATGGGGATTTCTCTATGCTCCGTTGACAGAGAAAGTGAAGACTCAAGCCTGGTTTGCAGATGGTTCTGCACGATATGCAGACGCCACCCAGAGGTTGAGAGCTTCAGCACTTCTGCCCCTTTATGGGACATCCCTAAAAGACAGTAAAGTCAGGGCGCAAGTGACCCCCTTCCTGAGGACAGAGCCTGCGGCTGGGCGCCTTGAGTGTCCTCTCACCTGTCACCACCAGCACCAGGGGGGTCACTGTGCCCTGACCGGCCTGTGGCACTTTGATAATAACAGTGACAGTTCTCTGCATTGTGCTCTGGCTTGTGTGAGATATGGGTCCTGGTCTTGTTCCCAGGCCCCAGTGGTTTCCTTAATGTTCTGTGACACTGAGCTTCCCTCTTTATCCAGCTGGTGCTCTTGGGGCTCCAGGGTACCCTGACACCAGGTGGTCACAGGCCTCCTCCCAGGGATCACACAGTCTGGCTCAGTCCAGGTGGTGGGTTTAGTGAGGAGCCTTGAAATGAAATCACAGGTTGGGTCCCAAGATACTAATGCATTCCTCAAATCCCAGCTGTCAGTCCCAAGACCCGCCCAGATGTCCCCATCAGTCAGCTCAGAGATGCTGTTCTCCATCCCCAGGTGGCTGGGGGTGGCCCGTTGTCCCCAGTGAGCAGGAGCGACCTGGGACTGCTGGGGACAGACTCACCTGCCTGCACATGGGTCCTGAAGCTCAGACTCAGCCCTGGAAGAGAGTTCCCTGTGAGAGATTTGCCCCTGAAGCCTGAGCAGGTCCTCCCCTGCCTGGGAGCATCCTGACCCCTGAGATTTCCTGATAGACCAGGGCTTGGCTCTGGAGTTAAGTCCCTTCAAGACTAGGGTGCCCCTTCTCCTCTTGAAATCTCACCAAGTCAGAGTAGGGTTGTGAGGGTGGGAGTCACGGCATCTCCTCCCACTGGCCCCAGCTGTACAGATGGATGAAACCATGGTGTCCAGGAGGACAGACAGACACACTCAAAGGCTGGGTTCTCCCTGTCATGGGGTTGTCCCATCAGCAGCCCCACAGGAAGGGGAACTGCAGAAGCCTGGCTCTCATTTCCCCAGGGCTGAGGTGGGAGTGAGCACCAGGTTTCCTGAAGACATTTCAGACAGAAATGGGCTCCCCCTGATCCTTGGCTACTGGCTGCAGGATCTTTCCTCATCTTATTGAGGGCTAGGATGTAGTAGAAAAATGGGCCCAGGGCCTCCCTGAGTGAGCCTCTTCCAGGTGAGGGTAACTGAGGGCTTCTCTTCCCCTCTCAGAGCCTCCACATGGGGTCTCCTTTACTCCTTCATCCTGTCTATCAGCACGGGGTTGTGGGGTCCTTACCATGGCCAGTCATCTCATCCGTCGTGGAGATGCTTCAGGGAAAATGCAGGTCCATGGTGCAGGGCAGACTCAGGTCAGCAGAGACGCATCTGACATCAGGCTGTGTAGTTCAAGTTGAGCTGCACTGTGGCAATGAGCGCAATGGAGAAACACAGGAAATATGGGTAGAGAACACGACCTGTATCCAACACTGCCAGTTTGCTCTATCAACCCGTGCCCTCCATGGACTTTCCCTTTCTCTTAGCAGCAGTATCCACCTTCGTCTCCTTGGAAACAGACTTGTGATCCACTCCTGAGTCTTCAGTGTCCTTTGTTTCCCTGAGGGGAACTCACCTGTTGGGATGGGGAGCTGATTTTTACTTAATGATTGCTCATTATCTGCTGCCCATGTGACCTTGAGCCTTCACAACCCCTTCTCTGAGCCTCAGTTTCCTTGTGTGGAGCAAGTTGTTACACACCCCACTCATCAGAGGGGTCGTGGGGGTCGGCGGTGACTGGGACTTCGAAGGAGCTCAATGATGGTTAATTCCCAGGACAGAGTAAGACATAGGGTTGTAAATTTGAGAAAATCAGGGTGTTGGACAATTGACGCTCCCACCCAAGAATCCTCATCTACCCTGAGCACTAAGAAATTGTACATATAATATTGCTTAAATACACAGATTATCACAGTCATGAGTAGAAATCCTTCCTTCCTTCTTCCTTCTTCCTTCCTTCCTTCCTTCCTTCCTTCCTTCCTTCCTTCCTTCCTTCCTTCCTTCCTCCCTCCCTCCCTCCCTCCCTCACTCCCCCCCCCTTTCTTTCTTTCTTTCTTTCTTTCTTCTTTCCTTTTTTTTTTTTTTTTGACAGAGTCTCACTCTGTTGCCCAGGCTGGAGTGCAGTGGCACAATCTTGGCTCACTGCAACCACCATCTCCTGGGTTCAAGTGATTCTCCTGCCTCAGCTTCCTGAGTAGCTGGGACTACAGGGGCATGCCACCGCACCTGGCTAATTTCTTTTGTATTTTAGTAGAGATGGGGTTTCTCCATGTTGCCCAGGTTGGTCTTGAACTCCTGAGCTCAGGCAATCCGCCCGCCTCGCCCTCCCAAAGTGCTAGGATTACAGGCGTGAGCAACCACGCCCAGTCGAAGGACTAGTTTTTAATTCCGGTTCTGGCTGTCTGGTTGGTTTTGGTTTTCCTCATGTATGTTTGCTGAGAGGATCTATGTAGTTGCCTGTGATGCCCGTTAATCCAAAATTGCCACCTCACTTTCATCAGTAGGTGGTATCTTAGGCCATCGTTATATAAGAGTAACTTTTTTTTCACTTTTTGGAAAATATTTTATTTGCCAAAATACATTTGAGAAAAATAATGTTGATTATACAAGCGGATAAAGCAATTGTCATATATATATACACACATACACACACACATATATACATCTATACATATACACATATATATACATATACACACATATATACGCATATATACATATATACACACACATATATACATATATATATGTATACACGCACACACACAAATATATATACACTGTGGAATACTACTCAGCCATAAGAGGGAACAAAATAATGGCATTCATAGTGACCTGGATGAAATTGGAGACTATTATTCTAAGTGAAGAAATTCAGGAATGAAAAACCAAATATTTTATGTTCTCATTCCTAAGTGGGAGCTAAGCTATGAGGATGCAAAGGCATAAGAATGCTACAATGGACTTTGGGGACTCGGGGGAAAGGGAGGGAGGAGGTGAGGGATAAAAGACTATAAATCGGGTTTAATGTATACTACTAGGGTGATGGGTGCACAAAAATCTCAGAAATCATCACTAAAGAACTTCTGCAAGTAACCAAACACCACGTTCCCCAAAAACCTATGGAAATAAGAAAGAAAATAAAAGAAAAATGATGTTGGTTATAAGTTGTGCAAACCTGTGTCTTAACTTGTTCATTCCACCAGCATAAAATGCAGCAACACATGTGCAGTGTTGGCCCCAGGCAAATCTGCTTGAGACTCAATGTTCAAGATTGTTATTAGGTGGGGACCACATAGGCATAATGAGCAGCTACAGAGAAACCAGAGGAAACCGGGTGTTCGCCATGAATTACACTGTTTACAGAAACAGCCTAGTGAAGACATAACAGCAGAATTCAGTGCCGCAGGCACACAACCTCACGTTGTCTCTTAGTAACACAGGGGACATGCTAGAAGCAAGTTCCTAGATGCCAACCAAGAATCAAGCTCACAAACAAGTCCTTCTAAAGTTAGCATCCTCATCACTGTTAGGTTAACTTCTTCTTGCATATCCTTCACCTAAAAGAAATAGTAGTCATCTTCAATCCTTCAGCACAGCGTTCACACAGCACGTGCCTCCAGCTCTCCCAGATTCTTCTAGGGCCAGCACAGCTTTTCTGATGCAGATTTTTCAAAGTTCTCCAAACTGAAGAGTCAATCCAAAATCATCTTGACTTTCCATGTTGGCGGCCTTTGGGGGCCTTCTCTGGCTGTGCTGAGCCTGAAAGATCATCCCCTAGAGACCGCCAGGATCAAGCCAGCATGGTCATTGGAATGAGATTCTCCATTGCATAGTCTGAAGGGGCATGGTCAGTAGACAGAACAGGGCATTCACTGGGGGCTAGACAGGCTGCACCCACATTGGGAGCCTGGATGGGTGTTTACACATTCACACTCCTGAAAGAGAAGTCGTAGTTACTCCTGACTTTGAAACTATACTTGGTGGATGCTGGTTGAGAGGATCAAGGACTCCTACGAATAAGAGCATGGGAGGATTAGAGCAGCTGGGGCCATTCTACTCCTGCTCCCCTGTCTTGGCTCCTTCATAACAACTCTCTTCCCTCTTTTTTTTTTTTTTTTTTTTTTTTTTTTGAGATGGAGTCTTGCTCCATTGCCCAGGCTGGAGTGCAGTGGTGCAATCTCAGCTCACTGCAACATCTGCCTCCCAGGTTCAAGCAATTCTTCTGTCTCAGCCTCCAGAGTAGTTGGGACTACAGGGGCCTGCCACCATGCCTGGCTAATTTTTGTATTTTTAGTAGAGACAGTGTTTCACCTTGTTGGTCAAGCTGGTCTCGAACTCCTGACCTCAGATGATCCACCTGCCTTGGACTCCCAAAGTGCTGGGGCCACCGCGCCTGGACCTCTCTTCCCTTCTCATGGGAGAATTGTGTAACCATCCTTGCTAACCTCAACTCCCACCTCAGATGGAGCACTGTATGATTTCCTTCCTCAAATTTGTTCAAGTTCTTGGGCCTCATTGAGGTCACCACCAACCTCTCGGTTTGGGGGATATTAAGAGTTTAGTTTTGCAACCACAACTCAGTGACAGAAAAAAGGAATTCAAAGATACAGGAATACTTAACTGTGCTCCTTTCTCATCTTCAATTTGTTCCCATATTAGGTAAACCCGTGCTTAACCCCTTAAGGTAAATACCTCTAGTAACTCTTCATCTGTCAATACAGAATTCAGAGATGCGTATGTGGGACTCTAGATTGTACCAGAGTCCAGGGTACAACAGAGCTAAAGGCTGTCACTGCCTTTTCTATTGTTCTGCCTCATCTAATTATCTCTGTGGTCCAGTGTAGCTTAATACTACTACTATTAAAAGTAATAATCACTGCCTCACTTTTAATGATTGGGTCCACTCATCTGTCCTGTTTTGCGATGAATGAGAGAATGATTTTAGAATCCAAGCCTTTTTTTTTTTTTTGAGACAGAGTTTTGCTCTTGTTGTCCAGGCTGGAGTGCAATGGTGCAATCTCGGCTCACCGCAACCTCTGCCTCCGATTCAAGCGATTCTCCTCCCTCAGCCTCCTGAGTAGCTGGGATTACAGGCATGCACAACTACACCTGGCTAATACTGTATTTTTAGTAGAGACAGTGTTTCTCTATGTTGGTCAGGCTGGTCTCGAACTCTTGACCTCAGGTGATCCACCCACCTCGGCCTCCCAAAGTGCTAGGATTACAGGTGTGAGCCACCATGCCGGGCCGCATCCAAGCCTCTTTTCCAGGAGCAAGAAATACTACAGTGAAAAAAATCTCCCATTGTTAATTCAATGTAGAAACTCATGAGAAAAAAGCAAAAAATTTTAAGGAGATAAATTAGAAAACAACATGTGCAGATGGATACATGGACAAAAAAATTAAGCTACCTAGAGATCTCGAATGTGTGTCAACCTAATACAAGGACTATTAGAGAATACAGGTGGGCAAGAATCACTTAACCCACTTTGTCATGGAAAATGTCTTTGAGGATGTGACAGGTTTGGAAAAATGAAAAAATGACAAAGTGGTCATTATATGAAGATCCAGAAAAATAATATTATTCAATATAGGATCAGCTGATTGAAGTATTCAACAAATATGCAGAAAGTTTCCTAGTGTGGACAAGACTTATTTGATTATGAGGAAATTTAATAAGTGCTGTGAAGTAACATAGATCTGTATTCACAGATGTGCAATAAATTAAGTAAAAATCAATAAAGACATAAAATGAGAAAAAAACCTATCTACAATAAAACCATCAATCTCAAATCATTGGATGGAGAGAAATATACATATACAGAATACTCTCTGAGAATAACTAGAATAAGGAGATATGTGGCCGGGTGCAGTGGCTCACACCTGTAATCCCAGCACTTTGGGAGGTCGAGGTGGGTGGATCACTTGAGGTCAGGAGTTCAAGACCAGCCTGACCAACATGGTGAAACCCCGTCTCTACTAAAAATACAAAATTAGCCGGAAATGGTGGTGCATGCCTGTAATCCCAGCTACTCAAGAGGCTGAGGCAGGAGAATCGCTTGAGCCTGGGAGGCGGAGGTTGCAGTGAGCAGAGATCACGCCACTGTACAGGAAGTTTCAAACCCAGGAGAGGTTATCTTTCAAGTACTCAGTGTTGTGGTTTCTCCTGCCAGGGTGACAACCTGATGATTATGGAAATCTAATCAGAAAACTGCTATCTTGCTTTTATTCCTACCTCCACAGGATGAAAACAGTTAATGGTAGAGACAAAATATGTCCAGAGTAGACAGGAGTCACAGAAAAAGTGAATTCTGATACGTTCTTTCCCAGGAAGTTACTGGTACAGAAGTTTAGAACTGAGATACCTTTTGGAAACAAGGATGGCATTCTGCCTTTGATGGATGGAAGAGTACTATCCCAGATTTAGATAGAGTTTGCTAAAGGCGTCTATCTTAGAGTGGCTGAGCCATCTCCACTTCAAGCTATGACTTTCTGTGAATTACCCACCCACTTGTCCTTCACAATAAGAGCTTACCCACCCACTTGTCCTACAGAATAAGAGGGACCTTTTAGTCTGCTCTTCTGATTGCGGACCTGATTCCACAGGTGCCTGGGGCATCTTTGCAATCCCTAGGAATCAGCACCATGGACAGGGGCAAGGAATAGGGTCCACTCCTCTCTCCACTTCAGCTGGACCTCTTGTTCGTTTTCTTTCTTTCTTTCTTTCTTTCTTTCTTTCTTTCTTTCTTTCTTTCTTTCTTTCTTTCTTTCTTTCTTTCTTTCTTTTCTCTCTTTCTCTCTTTTTCTTTCTTTTCTCTCTCTCCTCTTCTTTTCTTTCTTTCTTTCTTTCTCTTTCTTTCTCTCCTTCTTCCCTTCTTTCTTTCTTTCTTTCTTTCTTTCTCTTCCTTCCTTCCAACTTTTATTTCAGACACAGGGAGTACAAGTACAAATTTCTTACATGGGAATATTGCTTGATGCTGAGGTTTGGAGTACGGATCACATCCCCCAACTAGTGAGCATAATACCCAATAAGTAGTTTTTAACCCTCTTCCACCCTCTAGTAATCCACAGTGTCTATTTTTCCTATCCTTATGCTCATCTTTTTCTTTACACATTTCACCTCATACTGACCACCCAGCAGGAACAAAATACCTCAATGCTGCTTGGAAAATAAGGCTCCCTCCCTTCATCTCTACCTTTCTTCCCAGGCTCTCTGGAAACAACCTCTTCTGTAAAGACTTCAAGGGCAGAAGAATAAGCTGAGAAACTCAGCCCAGAGCTGCCGGAGACTGTGACTCCTGTAGTCTGTGAGGACCTTGTTGCTCAGCCAACATGAAGTGAGTCCATGAGGGTGAGGAGCTGCAGATCCCACAGACTGTTTGGGGCAGGGACAGAAGGAGTAGGTGGGGTTGTGGTGCCTCTTGCTCTGTTCCTCAGCTTCATCTCTTTTGCTCAAAGGTTGGCCCCCTACCTTTTCAAATCTTCTCATTCCACTCACCCAGCACCTTCTGTGACCCCCGAGTAGGGTAAGGCATGGAGAGTGAGAATGACCCCCACTTTCATGAATTTCTTCATCCCTTTCTGAGATGGGATTGCCCTATGACTGGTCCCTGCTGTTTTTCCTTCCTTCTATCCCAGGCCGGGGCTCTCCTAGCACAGGGATGCATGCTAAGGTTTAGAATCTTAACGGATGTGGTGCTTGGAGCTCCTGTACTGAGACCAAAATCTTTAGGGGTCACTGGGGTGTGACAATAGGGGTAAGGAGGAACTATGTGGACCACAGCACTAGTAGGTCCCCCTGTGGGCTGAAGTCAGAGGGCTTGGAGTAAACTTGGCCTGAGAGAGTAAGGCCATGTCTTTCAATCGATGGTTTTGGGGAGGCACAAGTGACCGGTCCTTGGACAGACAGAAGGTACCCAACCAGATCTCTGAGTAGCACTGCAAGGTCAAGTTCTCTCCCGAGGACACTAAGGGCCCTGGCTCAGACAAATGGAGGGTTTCTTGTACATTTCTAGGAAATATGAAGGTTGCAGTGTGTACAAAGCAGCCCCTTCCCACATGTCCTGGACCCCGAACTGAGGGACTGGCCTCCTCTCTCTCAGCTCCTGTTAGACTCTTGGTGTGGGTCTTTGTAATCTCCAGGCCTCTCACTCTCCTTTTCTAAGTTGCTCTCCTTGGACCACTGCCTCATCGCATCCTCTACTCTAGGACCCTCTCCCTGGACCCTCAACCCAGGGATGACCCTGGTCCCAGGACCCTGAGCATATAATCAAGACAGGGGGCTAGGCCAGGCGCAGTGGCTCACCCCTGTAATCCCAGCACTTTGGGAGGCCGAGGTGGGCAGATCACGAGGTCAGGAGATCGAGACTATCCTGGCCAACATGGTGAAACCCAGTCACTACAGGCCAGGTGCGGTGGCTCACACCTTTAATCCCAGCACTTTGGGAGGCTGTGGCGGGCAGATCACGAGGTCAGGAGATCGAGACTATCCTGGCCAACATGGTGAAACCCTGTCACTACTAAAAATACAAAAATTAGCTTGGCATGGTGGCATGCGCCTGTAGTCCCAGCTACTTGGGAGGCTGAGGAAGAAGAATTGCTTGAACTCGGGAGGTGGAGGTTGCAGTGAGCCGACATAGTGCCACTACACTCCAGCCTGGGTGACAAAGCGAGACTCCGTCTCAAAAAAAAAAAAAGAGCGAATGGGGCTTGAAGGCTACAGACAAGAGGTTAGGACGCCATTTTGGATTTATCTTTTCCTGGAGGGCATCTGATCTTCTCCCATGGATTTAGTTACTGGTTCAGGTGTGGAACTCTGAACTGAAGAGATGGAGGCTCAGTAAAGCACACAGGGAGTGTGATAATGAGAATTGAAGTGGACTGTGTGACACGCCAAGGACCAGAGCATGCAGGTGTGCAGAGATGTGGACCCAACGCTGCCTGCCATGTGGGATGTAGCCTCATGTCTCGGGCTGGGAAGAGAAGGGAATCCAACCAAGGGAAGTCAACATTAATAGAAAGGAAAGGTGTCACATTTTAATGGTCCTCCATGGATCACCCCAGACCAGTGTCTCTGCACTCAAACACCCATTCCTCCCTCTAGAAATTGCCAGAGGCTGAGGCAGGAGAATCACTTGAACCCGAGAGGCGGAGGTTGCAGTGAGCCCAGATTGCGCCACTGCATTCCAGCCTGGTGACAGAGCAAGACTCCATCTCAAAAAAAAAAAAAAAAAAAAAAAAGAAAGAAAAGAAAAGAAAGAAAAAAAGAAATTGCCAGCAGACAGTCCAGATGGCATAGGCCTCAGATGGTCTTCCCGAACCTCCTAGGACCATCAGATTCGCTTCCAAGGCTCCAGCATTCAATGGTGCATTGTTCTCTCTTCTGTTCACCTTCCAGCTGCAGCTTGGGGGCTTCTCTGGCTGTGCCAATCCTGAAATATCAGAATCCCAAGGACCACCAGGATCAAGCCGGCCATGCCCATGCGGATGAGATTCTCTACTGCGTAATCCTGAAGGTGTGAGGCTGGGGATGGTGGACAAAGAGGTCACAGAGGTCAGGGCAGATCAGTATCACCCAGGACCCCTGGATGTCTCCCCAGGGCACCCATATCATCTTGACAGGACCTGACCCTCTGTGCCAGTTCCATAACTGAGAGCATCTCCTCACTCACCAGTCCCAGAGTCAGACTTGTTTTGTGACGGACTGAGGTTATCAGCTGCTCCTGAAAATCAAAACAGGGGAAGGGGAAGGAGAAGTTCTTGAAGCAATCTGAGCCCAGCCTCTCCCCTGAGCTCTGCATTCTCCTAGTTCCCTGTGCCTCTCAACATGACTTTTATGGAGTTCCTCCATAAACCCTCCCTCTGCTGGAGCAGGGTTCCCTCCAGTCTCCTCACTGAATTATTTCAGCTTTCCTTTGTTCTTTGAATTTAAACTTTGCTCCTGAGTCATTTGGGAAAGAGCTTTCCTGCACCGTGAAAGCTCAGGATCTGCAAGGAAAGTGGCCCCCAGAAGTCACTGAGCCCTTTGTGCTCTCTGTGCAGCCTGGGACACAGGAGCACATAAGCCAATTCCCCCAGAGATGAGAGTTTCACGGATCCACCAGCTGAGGACCCAGGCTCCATGGATGACGGGTTGGTCCTCAGGGGCTCCTGAAAGTCAGAATCACAAACAGCTGCCTCCCCTTGACGCCACCTCAACCACCTCACCTGGTGTTTCATCATACAATAAGTCTCTAGTCAGCTAACTATTCATATAGTCAGTCATATATATATACGTATGTATATAAATGTGTGTGTGTGTGTGTGTGTGTATATATATGTATATATAAATATATATATATATATATATATATATATATATATATATATATATATATGGTGTTACAGAGGCTCATAAAACAATTTCTGCTTTTAGGGCCAGGCGTGGTGGCTCATGCCTGTAATCCCAGCACTTTGGGAGGCCAAGGCGGGCAGATCACGAGGTTAGGAGTTCGAGACCAGCCTGGCCAACATGGTGAAACCCCGTCTCTACTAAAAATAAAAAAATGAGCCGGGCATGGTGGCACCTGCCTGTAATCCCAGCTACTTGGGAGGCTGAGACAGGAGAATCACTTGAACCTGGGAGGCAGAGGTTGCAGTGAGCCCAGGTCATGCCATTGCACTCCAGCTTGGGCAACAGGGCAAGAGACTCCATCTCAAACAAACAAACAAAAATTTCTGCTTTTATAAAGTGTGAGTCTAGGTGAGAAGACCAATAACAAACATGTAAAAGCCCTCCATGTCAAATACATTAAGCATGTAGATATACGTATAAAAAATATATGCAGATATACCTACACTTATATTCAGATGTAACTTATATAACCATACATAAATATGTATATATGTAAAACTTTAGATATTTATTTAAGATGCAGTTACATGCATATTAATACTTGAAGTGACAAAAATTGATATGCGGTTTAGAAATAAAAAATAAAATTTCAATTTTCTTATAGTTAATATAAATTTTATCAGTAAATTTGGGGAGATCAGTTGAAAGATAATTGAAAGGGAAAAATGTTATAGCAAGCTAAAATGAAATTAAATGAATATACTCAAACTAAAAGCTTTCTCATGTGTATATCTTACTTAGAAATATAAATGAATCAGGCTGGGCATGGTGGCTCACGCCTGTAATCCCAGCACTTTGGGAGGCCTAGGTGGGTGGATCACGAGGTCAGGAGATCGAGACCATCCTGGCTAACACAGTGAAACCCCATCTCTACTAAAAATACAAAAAAATTAGCCCGGCATGGTGGTGGGTGCCTGTAGTCCCAGCTACTCGGGAGGCTGAGGCAGGACAATGGCGTGAACCCAGGAGGCGGAGCTTGCAGTGAGCCGAGATCGCGCCACTGCACTCCAGGCTGGGCGACAGAGCAAGACTCCATCTCAAAAACAAAAACAAACAAACAAACAAAAGAAATATACATGAATCAAATACTTCACTTAAGAATAAAGTAGTTGAAGAATTTTTTAAATTAGACTAAATGTACACATTCTTATGAACGGAACTTGAAAACACTTATTAACTTCATTAATAAACTTCAATTTTATATATTAATAATAGAAATACTTGCTATTAACAACTAATTTTATACAGCAAATGTAAATATTGAATTATGCCCCCAGGACAATGGGAGTGGAATTACTTGTTTTTAAATCATAAATCCATATATCTTAAAGAGACAAATTTAAATATTCAAATATTGTTTTAAAAGATTCAGAAGAAGAGAGAAAAAATAAACAAGTATGCCCAGAAAATGCAGAGCAGCAATGAACAGCAGACAAGACGTGCTGTGAATAAGTTCCTAACTTCCTCCAGGGAGCAGGTGCGCGGCCCCTCCTTTGTCTCAGGGGTGCCCTGAGCACAGAGGCCTCCAGGTGAGCACAGGAGGGGCGGTGTGAGTGGTACCCACAGCTGGGGCGCTTCTCTCTAAAGGAGCAGGTCTGGCGTGGACTCCAGCCTCATCACCGTCAGATCCCACCGAGGCCTGAGCAGCCTCCTCCCCTGTCCTGAGTGGGCTCAGGGACCCCGCAGGTGTGGGTGAGGGGCTCCATCCTCAGGGGCTCTTGGAAATGAGAAGTGAGAGCTGCCAAGGGAGCGTCCGTCTGTCCTCTCTCCAACTCGCCTGCCTCTCTTCCTCCTCCATCAGCCCCAGCATCTTCCCCATGTTCCAAGTCAGGCCTGGACCCCAAATCCTGCTGACCAGGTCTGTTCTCCTTCCTCTACTCATCACTCATCCCGCAGGATAGGGTAGGGGCCTGGGAGTCTTGTAAAGCTGCATGGTTTTTAGTAGAAAATCTGAAACGCTTCGTGTGACATGTGAGAGAGAGGAGATTCTAAACAGTGGGGTTTTTACACATCTTTGCTTTCTCATAATATTGTGGCTTCGTCTCACGAACCTCAGACCCCAGCACTGATGGATATGATTACATGTACCTGCAGCTGCCCCTCTTGGCTTTCTAACCCTTGCGAGGCATAGCTATTGGCAAGAGCAGACCAGGTCTTAGGGTGAGTGATGGGAGCTGCTTTTCTAGGTCTAGGATGAGCCACATCTCAGATGCCCCACAAGGTCAGAAATGAGGGGGCTTTGGGGGTCACTTCCAAGCTCAGGGGGAAGTCAGCCTGGGAGAGCCCAGCCTGGGGCTGCCGGCCAGTGGAGGAGGTCACGTCTGTCCTCCTTGTAGAGAGCAAACCTGTCATAGCCAACATCAGAGTGATACTGGAGGGTCAGGTTCTCTCCAGGGACCACAACAGGGCCCTGCGGGGTCAGGAGGGAGGGCTTTCTAGACACACCTGGAAGGATAAAGGAGCCGGGACTGCAGGGGCTGGTTCCTCCTATAAACCTCCTTCTGGAGTCTCCCTTGCTCTGTTTTTCTTTTTCTTTTTTTTTTTTTTTGAGACAGAGTCTCGCTCTGTCACCCAGGCTGGAGTGCAATGACACAGTCTCGGCTCACTGCAACCTCCGCCTCCCGGGTTCGAGCGATTCTCCTGCCTCAGCCTCCCAAGTAGCTGGGATTACAGGTGTGTGCCGCCACGCCCAGCTAATTTTTGTATTTTTAGTAGAAATGGGGTTTCACCATGTTGGCCAGGCTGGTCTTGAACTCCTGACATCAGGTGATCCACCTGCCTCGGCCTCCCAAAGTGCTGAGATTACACGTGTGAGCCACTGTGCCCAGCCCTTGCTTTGTTTTCCTCACCCTGAATTTGTGTCCCTAGGATTTCTGTGTTCTCCTTCCCCTTTTTGTCTTTCTTAGCAGGGGCTGCCCTGCCTGTAAAGCTCTCCACAACCTGTCTGGCTTCCCTGAATTGTACTAGAGAAGACTGTGGCTTCCTCACCTGAGACCGGAATCTCCAGGAGGTCACTGGGTTCTGACCATACCTGCAGGATATGCCTGCGAGAGCCATAGCATCTGAGCATCCACCTGTGGCTGGGGGTCACAGGGCCCACAGGGAACAGGGCCTGGAACTGCCCACTGGGGGTCAGCTGTGAGTCCAAGGTCCAGGAGAGCTTGTGGTCTCCTTCCTCAGTCAGAATGAACCTGTCGAATCTCAGCCGTGAGCCACACTGGAGGGTCACGTTCTCTCCTGAGGTCACCACAGGACTGGGCAGGGCTGAGAGGGTGGGTTTGTTGTAGAATCCTAGGAGAGAAGGAGGCACCGTGTTAAATGGGGCTCCCACCTCCCACATCATCCCCAGGGCTGGGCTGTGAAAGGGAGACACCCCTGAGAGCCGACCCCCTTCCTGAGGGCAGAGCCTGGAGCTGGGACCCCAGAGTGTCCTCTCACCTGTCACCACCAGCTCCAGGGGGTCGCTGGGCTCTGACCAGCCTGCAGGGCTGTAGTAGTAACAGCGGTATCTCCCTGCATGGTGCTCTGTCATGGATGGGATGGAGAATCTGGCCTTGTTCTTGGGCTCCAGTGGGTTCTGTGTGTCCCAGGGTTCTGGGCTTCCCTCTTTAACCAGACGGTATTCCTGGGCCTCCAGGGTCCCCTGACACCGGATGGTCACAGAGTTCCCCCGGCTGATCACAGAGCCTGGCTCAGCCCAGAGGGTGGCTTTGGAGAGGTTCCCTGGAAGGAAATCAGAGTCTGGGCTCCAAGACCTCCCCACCCCTCAGATCCCAGCTCTCAGCCCCAGGACCCTCCAGACGTCCCCATCAATCACCCAGAACTGCGGTCTTCACCCCCAGCTGCCCATGGGTGGCCCTTTGTCCCCATTGAGGAGGAGGGACCTGGGACAGCTGGGGACAGACTCACCTGCCTGCACGTGGGTCCTGGGGCCCAGACTCAGCCCTGGAAGAGAGTTCCCTGTGAGAGATTTGCCTCTGAAGCCTGAGCAGGTCCTCCCCTGCCTGGGAACCTCCTAAAACCCTGGAGTTTCCTGATAGACAAGGGCCTCGTTATGGGGTGGGGTCCCTCCCAGACTAGGGTGCCCCTTCCCTGAGGCTTCCAATCTCACCGAGGCAGAGCAGAACCATGAGGGCAGGGCTCACGGCGTCTCCTCCCACTGGCTGCAGCTGTGCAGATGGATGAGACCATGGTGCCTGGCAGGACAGAGAGACACACAGGGTGTGGCAGCTCGGAGGCTGGGTCCTTCTTGTCATAGGATTTTCTCATTCTCAGCCCACAGAAAGGGGAACTGCTCTCCCCAGGAGCCTGGCTCTCATTTCCCCAGGGCTGAAGTGAAGTAGTTGAGACTACAGGCACCAGGCTCTCTGCAGACATTTCAGACAGAAGTGGGGTCTCCCTTCCCCGGGCCACTGTCTGCCTGATTTATCTTTATCTCACTGAGAGCCGGGACACAGCAGCAAATAGACCCGGTGCCTTCCTGAGTCAGCCCCTTTCAGGCGAGGGTGACCTCCTCCCTCTCAGAGCCTCCCCATGGGGTCTCCCTCCCTCCTTCAGCCCGTCCATGAGCTCAGCGTTGCGGGGTCCTTACCATGGTCAGTGATTTTTCAGCCCTGGAGATGCTTCAGGGAAGATGCAGGTCCATGCCACAGGCAGACTCAGATCAGCAGAGACACATCTGACACCTGGCTGTGTAGCCCAGGCTGAGCTGCATGTGGCAATGAGCACAGAGGAGAAATGCAGGGAAATAGGGGAGGAAATCATGACCCTTTAGTGGCCCTGGAGTGTTTTCTTTCTAACCAATAGTACTCTCTTTCTTGTACTTCCCTTAATTTTTTTTTTTTTTTTTTTTTTTTGCAACAGCGTCCACCTCCACCCCACCTCCAGTAACAAACCTCTGAATCTTTTCTGCCTCCACTGTGCCTTCTGTTTCTTTGGGCTTCCCTCTATACCTCAATCCATGTTCAACATTTTCGGAGTAATTACTTAGGCTTTGTTTTAAAATTTTCATTCTTATGTATCTATTTATTTTTTAATTTTTGTGGGTACATTACTTAGGTTTGGGCTCTGGTTTGCTGAGTGGGGAGTTGATTTCTTTCTTTCTTTCTTTCTTTCCTTTTTTTTTTTTTTGAGACCGAGTCTCGCTCTGTCGCCCAGGCTGGAGTGCAATGGCGCTATCTCGGCTCACTGCAAGCTCCACCTCCCGGGTTCATACCATTCTCCTGCCTCAGCCTCCCGAGTAGCTGGGACTACAGGCGTCCGCCACCACGCCCGGCTAATTTTTTTGTATTTTTATTAGAGACAGGGTTTCACCATGTTAGCCAGGATGGTCTCGATCTCCTGACCTCATGATCCGCCTACCTCGGCCTCCCAAAGTGCTGGGATTACAGGCGTGAGCCACTGCGCCCGGCTGGTGGGGAGTTGATTTCTATGTAATTCCCGATTATTATCTACGGCTTGTGTGATCTTGGGCAGTACTGTCTCATCTCTGAGCCTCAGTTTCCCTGTGTGGAGCCTGTTGTCATGAACCTCACTCATCACAGCGGATGTGGGGGTCAGCCGTGCTTGGGTCATGGGAGAGGCTCAATCACGGTTAATGTCTAGACTAGATTAAGACATGAGGGGTTGGGACATGAGAGGATTCTGGTTTCAGTCTCTATGATTATGTCACAGAGGTGCAGAAAAAGCATTTGATAAAATCCTGCATCCCTTCATGATAAAAATTCCCAACAAACAAGGTACAGAGGGACATACCTCAAAATACTAAAGGCGATAGGTGACGAAATCCCAGCCAATATCGCAAACAGGGAAAAATAGAAAGCATTCCCCCTAAGAACTGGAGCATGACAAAGATGTGCACTGTCACCACTCTTCAACGTAGTACTGGAGGTCCTTGCCAGAGCAATCAGGCAAGACAAAGAAATAAAACACATCTAAATTGGAAAAAAAAAAAGTGAAATTATTTCTGTTCGCTGATGATATTATCTTATACCTCAAAAACCCTAAAGACTCAGCCAAAACACTCTTAGATTTGATAAAGAAATGCAGTAAAGTTTCAGGATATAGAATCAAAGTACAGAAATCAGTAGCATTTCTGTACTCCAATAATGACGAAGCTGAGAACCAAGTCAAGGAGGCAATCCCATGGACAGTGGGTGCACAAAAATAAAACACCTGGGAATATATTTAACCAAGGAGGTGAAAGATTTCTACAAGGAAAACTTCAAACCAGTGATGAAAGAAATTGTAGAAGACACAAACAGATGGAAAAACATCCCATTCTCATAAATCAGAATAATTACTATGATTAAAATGACCACATTGCCCAAAGCAATCTACAGATTTAATGCAGTCCTTACAAAAATACCTTCATTTTTCACAGACTTAGAAAAAGAAACCTTAAAAGTTATATTGAGCCAAAAAAAGAGCCCAAACAGCCATAGCAATCCTAAGCAAAAAGAGCAAAGCTAGAGACATCACATTAACTGACTCAAAGTTTACAAGGCTATAGTAACCAAAAGAGCATGACACTGGTATAAAAATAGACATATAGGCCAGTTGCAGTGGCTCACGCCTCTAATCCCAGCACTTTGGGAGGCTGAGGCAGGTGGATTACGAGGTCAGGAGTTCAAGACCAGCTTGGCCAACATGGTGAAACCCCGTCTCTGCTAAAAATACAAAAGAATTAGCCAGGTGTGGTGATGGGTGATCTCAAATTAACAACCTAACATCACAACTAAAAGAACTAGAGAATAATCCGCCCGGCGCGGTGGCTCACGCCTGTAATTCCAGCACTTTGGGAGGCTGAGGCGGGTGGATCACAAGGTCAGGAGATCGAGACCATCCTGGCTAACATGGTGAAACCCTGTCTCTACTGAAAACACAAAAAATTAGCCAGGCGTGGTGGCGGGCACCTGTAGTCCCAGCTACTCGGGAGGCTGAGGCAGGAGAATGGCGTGAACCCGGGAGGTGGAGCTTGCAGTGAGCCGAGATCACGCCACTGCACTCCAGCCTGGGAGACAGCAATTGGAATGCAATTTAGAAATAAAGTGAAATTTCAACTTTTGTGTGAGTTATGTACATTTTATTAGTAAATTAGAGGGGATCAATTGAAAATAATTGGAATTAAGAAATTCTGTAGTAAGTTGGTATAAAATAAAGTAAATGAACTCAAACCAATTACTGTATCATGTATACCTAGCTTTTATTTATAAGGAATCAAAGACCTCATTTACAGATTATTCAAGTGATTGAATAATTGTTTAAATTGAAATAAATATATAAAATTCTTATAAATAAAATTTCAAGACACTTCTTAAGTTCATCAATAAACCTCAATTTTAAAAGTTTAGGATAGGAAAACTTAACATAAATAAGAAACTATTTTCTAAAGCAAATATATAAATGAAATCATGTCCCAAATTAAAATGATAAGTTTATATATTCATGTATTGCTTTAAATGTTTCAGAAGAACAGAGAGTAACAATAGACAAGTGTGCACAGAAAAGGCAGGGTAGAAATGAATGACACACAAGCCGCGCTGTGAATAACTCCCTAACTCATCCAGGGAGCAGGTGCGTGGCCCCTCCTTACTCTCAGGGGTTCCCTGAGCACAGAGGCCTTCAGGTGAGCACAGGAGGGGCGGTGTGAGGTGCACCCACAAGTGGGGTGCTTCTCTCTAAAGGAGCAGGTCTGGGGCGGACCCCAGCCTCATCCCAGTCAGATCCCACCGAGGCCCGAGCAGCCTCCTGTCCTGTCATAAGAGGACCCAGGGACCCCGCATGTGTGGGTGAGGGGCTTCATCCTCAGGGGCTCTTGGAAATGAGAAATAAGAGCTCCCAAGGGAGCGTCCATCTGTCCTCTCTCCAACTTGCTTGCCTCTCTTCCTCCTCCATCAGCCCCAGCGTCTTCCCCATGTCTGAGTCTGGCTGGACCCCAAATCCTCCTGATCCAGCCTGCTCTCCTTCCTCTGCTCATCACATATCCTGCAGGACAGGGTAGGGGCCTGGGAGTCATGCACAGCTGTGCTGGGTGTTGCTTTTAGTAGAAAATCTGAAACAGTGTGTGATGTGTGAGAGAGGGGAGATTCTAAACAGTGGGGTTTTTACAAATCTTTGCTTTCTCCTAATACTGTGGCTTCATCTCACGAATCTCAGACCCCAACATTGATGGATACAATTACAATTACATGTACCTGCAGCTGCCTCTCCTGGCTTTCTAACCCTTGCAACACACAGTTATTGGTAGGAGCTGACCAGGCCAAGGGAGGGCTGGGGGACGGCAGCAGGTCTAGGATGAGCCGCAACCCAGATGCCCCAGAAGGTCAGAAATGAAAGGGCTTTGGGGGTCACTTCCAGGCAGCTCCTTCTTATTCGGATGGGAAAGGCCAGGGCGGAAGGGGAAAAGGCTTTCTCAGAAGTTCTGAGGTAGGATGTGGGACTTTGGAGGCGGGGACTCAGACACCACACCAGATTGAGAACTAGCTAAAACAGGGCAGAGGGTGGAAGCAGCTCTTCTTAAGACACGCCCACCAGTGTGGCATCCCGGTTTACCGTTGCCATGGCAACCCCCGGAAGGTACCGCCCTTTTCCACGGCAAAGACCCACTGACCGGAAGTTACCGCCCTTTTTCTAGGAATTTCTGCATACCTGACCTTTAATTTGCATATAATTAAAAGCAGGTACAAGAGTGGCTGCAGGTGTGTTTCTGAGCTGCTATTCTGGGCACACCGCCTGTGGGGCAGCCCTGCCACCCTAGGAGCAGTACCTCTGCTGCTGCTGTGCTCGGCCACTTGACTAGAGGTTGCCGTAACCCTTAAGGGGTTGTGTAACACCAGCTCACCCTTAAATTCCTTTTTTTTTTGTTTTTGAGATAGAGTTTTACTCTGTCACCCAGGTTGAAGTGCAATGGCGCCATCTCGGCTCGCTGCAATCTCTGCCTCCGGAGTTCAAGCGATTCTCCTGCCTCGGTTCCGAAGTAGCTGGAATTACAGGCACCAGCCACCACACCCTGCTAATTTTTGTAGTCTTTAGTAGAGACGGGGTTTCACCGTGTTGGCCAGGTTGGTCTCAGACTCCTGACCTCAAATGATCTGCCCGCCTCAGCCTTCCAAGGTGCTGGGATGACAGGTGTGGACCACCGCGACCGGCCTAAATTCTTTCTTAGGCAAAGCCAAGAACTCTTCTGGGCTATGCCCCGATTTGGGAGCTCCCCTTCCCCGCATCATCTAGTTACCAGGAAGGGATGACGGAGACAGCGAGTGAGAGGCAGAGAGACTTTCCGCAGAGGCAGGGACAATTAGGAGAGAGGCGAGATGGCTAGACAGCAGAGATGGTGACAGTGATCAGCGGAGGGGTGGCAATGGGTGAAAGACACGGAGAGGTGGCACTGGGCTAGACAGCGAGAGGTTGCTGAGACAGTCGGAGAGACAGCGGGGCGGGGCAGTCTGTGATCAGGGCTCCAAGAGCGGTCACACAGGCTGTAACAGTAAACAGCTGCTAATACTGCAGAGCTGTCACACTAACCAAAGGCTTTGCTTTTGGCGCCTTCATCTTTCCTTGGATAGTGGTGGAGCTCAGCGATGGGCAAGCAGGTGAGACCCCCGCTCCAACCGACAGGCCCATGGGTTACCAGTCCCCGCACCGGACCCCTGGGTGACAGCTGAGCCCACCCAAGCTGGGGGATCCTGCAGAGACCTTCACCTGGGCCCCATGTGGAAGATTTTTGATGTTATTTAGGCTTTTGGGGATGGGGGAGTGTCCCCTCTGCCTCCCCCGTAATATCTGGTGAGCCGTATGGGTAATGCGAGCACTAGACACCTAAACCCCACCAGAACGCAATGCATCCATGTAAGGAACCTGCGCGTGTAGCGCCTGAATCTAAAAAAATAGAGTAACATTAAAAACAACAACAACAATAAAGCCGTGTGAGGTGGCTCACGCCTGTAATCTCAGAACTTTGGGAGGCCGAAGCGGGTGGATCACCTGAGGTCAGGAGTTTGAGACCAGCCTGGCCAACATGGTGAAACACCGTCTCTACTGAAAATACAAAAACTTAGCTGGGCATGGTGGTGGGTGCCTGTAATCCCAGCTACTCATGAATTATCATGAAGAGAAAATGGGCCAGGTGCGGTGACTCACGCCTGTAATCCTAGCACTTTGTGAGGCCAAGGCGGACAGATCACCTGCGGTCAGGAGTTCGAGACAAGCCTGGCCAACATGGTGAAACCCCATCTCTATTAAAAATTAAAAATTAGCCGGGCATGATGGTGGGCACCTGTAATCCCAGCTACTGGGGAGTCTGAGGCAGGAGAATCACTTGAACCCAGGAGGTGAAGGTTGCAGTGAGCCGAGATGGTGCCACTGCATTCCAGCCTAGGCGACAGAGAGAAGCTTCGTCTCAAAAAAAAAAAAAAGAGAAAAAATGGTCCACAATAAAATAACAGGCGGTTATTGTACCTGAATTTATCAGTAAAAAATTGAATTTTTTCTTTTATTGCCTAGAGTCCACCTTCTATCAATGTCACAAGCATGACACTCAGAACAGAGAGGAAAAGATTATATTTGAAGTCCTAATATAAATTTAATTTACCATATTGAAGTATAAGTATTTTAGAGTTGCTTCATGAATTTTTTGCTAAAATCTAAAAAGAAAACCCACAAAAAACCCTAAATGTAATGACGTTAATGCAGTTCCTGACAGTGACTTTTAGCCCTTCTGCAAACTTTTGTTTCGTTGCCTTCCTGACCGTATGACGCAATGAAATTTCGATTTGCTTTAATTTCTGCTTCCTCTTTCCCTATGTTTCAGTTCTGAAGGTATGAGCTTCTCTCATCTTTTTCTTTTCTTTTACTTTGAGATGGAGTCTCGCTCTGTCACCCAGGCTGGAGTGCAACAGCCTGACCTCAGCTCACTGCAACCTCTGCTACCCATGTTCAAGTGATTCTCCTGTCTCAGTCTCCCAAGTAGCTGGATGACAGGCATGAGCCACCACGCCCAGTTAATTTTTGTATTTTTAGTAGAGACAGGATTTCACCCTGTTGGTCAGGCTGGTCTCGAATTCCTCACCTCAGGTGATCCACCTGCTTTGGCCTCCCAAAGTGCTGGGATTACAGGTGTGAGCCACCGTGCCCGGCCAGGATATTTTTTTCTTTAGAGCACTTACTTCACTTTCTTTGAGTGAAGTTGGATGGGTTACAGCCGTTGTGGTGTTACAAAGAATAATTCTGAGAGAAATATTGTTATTTGTTGGTAAAATAAAAGTGTCTTAAGTTAAAAGTTTCCTTTGAGACCCAATAAAGAAATTAGTATTACTACATAATGCATTTATTTACAAGTCTTTTTTTGCATGTCCATTGTAAATTTAATATTTTAATTTACAATGAGTTTACAAATAATTTTTACAAATAAATGTTACAAATAAAAATAATTTACAATGAGTAAATGAGTTGGAATTTATTTACATGCTTATGGCTGCCTTTGATTAAACTTCTTCCAAAAATAAACTCTGTCCAGATGTTGGGTTTTATTATACTTAATTTCATTTTAATGTTATTTCATGTGAGATTACTTGAATACAAGCTGTTGCATAATTGCTCCCAAGTGGAGTCTTTGCTGTGCACTTGCATACCCCAGAGTGGGAGGTTTGGGGATTCTGAATGGCCAGGGCAGCGTGTGGGTGTACCTTCACAGGCCTGATGTGTGAGCCTTCAAACACCGGGGTGGAGGAAGTGATTAAATAGAGGATGCAATGGTCTGGAGGCAATTTATAGCCCAGAGACCATACCTGGGGCATTTCTCTTCCTTATCTAGCACACAAAGTAGAACCGTGACACTCGGGCGTCACTGACAATGAACACAAAGGGGCTGAATGTCGGGAATCCTGCAGACGCCAGGAAAGAGGTACTTCTCAGCCATTGGCTTGGATTCTGAATCTGGGTTACGCACAATGACAAAATATCAGCTAGAGCATGAGAGGAGACAAACATGCTCACCAGGATGAGGATGGTGTGTGTGGTTGTGGTTTCATGAGATGTTCTGCGGGAGAGGTTGCGGCTGCGAACATGTTGGACTCTCTGCTTGTATCTATGCAGGACGAGGACCATGGAGCTGCTGGTGCAGATCATGAGGGAGACACATATACGGGAGACACATATACCATCTGTGCAGCAGTAAATGACTGCAACTATTACATACAGCGATCTTCCTGGATAGGGTGAGGAGCAGTATCTATACATTTTTTCCATACTCATGTTTTTGCTCTTTATTGGGTCAGTTATTTACTTTGCAGTATAAATATTTACAACAAGATTCAAGATCCAACAGAGGAAACAGCAGAAAACTATAAACTTTGGGGATCTAATTCAGAGTTCCATCTTCCCAGAGATACTGGGGTGAAGCTTCATGGCCTGGAAGCCACTGAAGAGGCAGGTGGTGCTGAGGGAAACCCCTCTGGCCACTCTGTGTAGGTAGAAGACAAGTTTACATCCAGCCTCATCCAGGAAAGGTTTCAATCCAAAAGCCGCCACTGTCTGAGGGATCCCTTTAGAGAAAAGAACCGGGTTGTTGGCTAAGACCAGCTGGCTGAGAATCAGGTCTCTGGGTCTCACTATTTGTGTGGGGACAAAAGTAAAGCTATAAAAGTAAAGGAGTAGAGAATTTCCAAGGATTCCAGCAGCGGTCTGAATGAGAAAGGTAATACTCCAATTTAAGTTAACAGAAACCATCTCCATTTAGAGGAGATGTTGGAGTTTGATTCTATTTTCATCAGAGGAATCTGTAGACTGAAAAATACAATTGAGTGTTTTCACTGTACCCGGTTTCATGCGCTTCCGTGTGAAGAGACCACTAAACAGGCTTTGTGTGAGCAGTAAAGCTTTTAATCACCTGGGTGCAGGTGGGCTGAGTCCAAAAAGAGAGTCATCGAAGGGAGATAGGGGTGGGGCCATTTTATAGGATTTGGGTAGGTAAAGGAAAAAGAGGGGTTGTTCTCTGGTGGGCAGGTGTGGGGGTCACAAGGTGCTCCGTAGAGGAGCTTTTGAGCCAGGATGAGCCAGGAGAAGGAATTTCACAAGATAATGTCATCAGTTAAGGCAGGAACAAGCCATTTTCACTTCTTTTGTGGTGGAATGTCATCAGTTAAGGCAGGAACCAGCCATCTGGATGTGTACGTGCAGGTCACAGGGGATATGATGGCTTAGCTTGGGCTCAGAGGCCTGACACCCAGAAAATGCCTTTTTCTCACGAAACTCATTATTCCAGGTGAATACAAACATTAAGAACAAACTTGTACAATTACAAAGCTATTTATTCCAAAATTATGATTTGTAAAACTACAATGACTTGAACCCACTTAATTTCAATCAAAGAAAGACTCAATAAATTCCTGGGCCTCCCCACAGTGGAGTCCTGGGCAGCTGTGGGTGAGATGAATGAGTTATCTTGAAGGCTGACCTTCCAAGACGTGTAGTTGTGTAGTTGGGGTGGCAGGGAGAAAAGAAAAAGAAAGATTCAGGACGTTATCAACAGTTAACTTTATTTTACTCAGAACCAGAGAAAAATGGTATAGTGTTATGTCATTGTGTGTGTATTTTGTAATCTATTTTTTAAAATGAAAGATTAATCAATACCTTTAAAAGTGGGTAGTTGAGAGAGAGAGAGAAAACAGTGCAGAGGAGACAGAATAAAGCTAGACTGACATCATTGTGTCTTGTTTCTTGTTTTGGTATAGAAATATAAACATACCTTTGGGAGGCTGAGGTGGGCGAATCGCAAGATCAGGAGTTCAAGACCAGCCTGGCCAACATGGTGAAACCCCACCTCTACTGAAAATAAAAAGATTAGCTGGGCATGGTGGCACACTCCTGTCATCCCAGCTACTCGGGAGGCTCTGACAGGAGAATTGCTTGAACCTGGGAGGTGGAGATTGCAGTGAGCTGAGACTGTGCCACTGCATTTGTAGGGACCAGCCCCACAGGGTCGGTGGGTCTCTCCCTGTGTGTGGTGACGATAGAGTGTAGAAATAAAGACACAAGACAAAGAGATAAAAGAAAAGGCAGCTGCGCCCGGGGGACCACTACCACCAATGCGCGGAGACCGGTAGTGGCCCCGAATGTTGGGCTGCGCTGTTATTTATTGGATACAAGGCAGAAGGGGCAGGGTAAAGAGTGTGAGTCACCTCCAATGATAGGTAAGGTCACGTGGGTCACGTGTCCACTGGACAGGGGGCCCTTCCCTGCCTGGCAGCCGAGGCAGAGAGGGAGAGGAGACAGAGAGAAAGACAGCTTACGCCATTATTTCTGCATATCAGGGACTATTAGTACTTTCACTAATTTACTACTGCTATCTAGAAGGCAGAGCCAGGTGTACAGGATGGAACATGAAGGCGGACTAGGAGCGTGACCACCGAAGCACAGCATCACAGGGAGACGGTTAGGCCTCCGGATAACTGCGGGCGAGCCTGACTGATGTCAGGCCCTCCACAAGAGGTGGAGGAGCAGAGTCTTCTCTAAACTCCCCCGGGGAAAGGGAGACTCCCTTCCCCAGTCTGCTAAGTAGCGGGTGTTGTTCCTTGCCACTTACGCTACCGCTAGACCACGGTCCGCTTGGCAACGGACGTCTTCCCAGACGCTGGCGTCACCGCTAGACCAAGGAGCCCTCTGGTGGCCCTGTCCGGGCATGACAGAGGGCTCGCACTCTTGTCTTCTGGTCACTTCTCACTGTGTCCCCTCAGCTCCTATCTCTGTATGGCCTGGCTTTTCCTAGGTTATGATTACAGAGGGAGGATTATTATAATATTGGGATAAAGGGTAACTGCTACAAACAAATGATTAATGATATTCATATATAATCATAACTAAGATCTATATCTGGTATAACTATTCTTGTTTTATATTTTATTATACTGGAACAGCTCGTGTCCTCTGTCTCTTGCCTCGGCACCTGGGTGGCTTGCCACCCACAGCATTCTAGCCTGGGCGACGAGCAAGACTCCGTTTAAAAATATATATATATACATATATAAACATATTCCTGAATGTCTATACTATAAAATATTTTTAAATATAACTTATAAATCTAAAGATAATACCTTAAAAAAGGAAATAGAATTGAGTTCCTATCAAATTAGGGCATTACTAAACAAGGAAGAATTATTTGTACTAGAATGTAAGCAAAATTACTTGACCATATATTTTATAATGCATATATTATTTATCATATTATATAATAAATGTATACTTTTAAATCAAATTATATATTATGTAGTGACATATAGTTAATATTATTATATAATTTTGACTATATATAGTAAAACATAAGTGAATACACCCTCAAAAATGTTTAATTCTTAAAATATGTATGGTCAAAAATTCTAAATTTCATCCTAGAGAAATAGCTGACTCCACATTCGGAGAGAAAATACAGGAGATGAAGTCAGAACTTCTTATCATGCAAGAAAGCAAAGACATCACCACATACCATCAGATTCATGTTACCTGAACATAAAGTCTATCATGAAAAGTTCCCAATGGCAAAATGTGGAATATTTATAGAATCAAATAATATAGGTAGTGTATTAAAACTAATGAATATGTTCAAAGCCTATCAGTTTACTACTGTTAAAAACAAAATTAAAAAACAAAAAACCCCTCAAATATGAGGAATGGGAAAAGAACAAAATCTCCACATCAAAAACGTGGAAATGAAGGCAAGAAGCAAGATCTCTTTTGTTTATCTGAAGTGTTACACAGGAAACATTCTTTTCTGTAGAATGTTTCTACATAATAATAAGTATAGTAATAGCTATAGTAATGTTTTTGCCTAAGAATAGCTGTAGAGTTTTTGCATAATAATAGTTAACCCTGCAAAGCTTGGATAACCTGTGCGTTGAGTATACAAGCAATAAACATCAATGGCTGCCAAAACCCTTAGGCTGAAGGTTGATAGTGAATATAATAACGAGTGGATCCTGCTGATAGTACAGCCATCAGTACAGAATTGCAAGGTGGAGAATGCAAGACACAAGCAAATGAGCCATTGTGTCTCACTTCTGACATTTTCTAAGCATCTTTTTCACCATACCCTCAAATCTAGACCGTTATCTGGCTGGGCGTCTCTATGTTTCTTGGATTTGTGTGTCAAACTCTCTAGCGAGTTTAGGAAAATATTCATGGACTATATCCTCAAATATATTTTCCAAGTTGCTTATTCTCTCTTCCCCTTTCAGGAATGCTGACAAGTCATACATTTGGTGTCTTTAGATAATATCATATTTCTCAGAGATTTTGTTCACTTTTAAAAATATTTTTTCCTTATATTTGACTGATTTGATTCAAACAAGTCTTCAAGCTTTGAAATTCTTTTCCTCAGCTTGGTCTATTCTGCTGTTAATGCTTCTCATCGTATTATGAAATTCGTGTCATGAATTTTTCAGCTCGAGAAGTTCAGTTTGGGTGTTTCTTAAAATTTAATCGTTCATGTCATTAATCATTTTACTGGATTGCTTGGCTTCCTTGGATTGAATTTCAACTTTGCTCTTGATTTGAATGACCTTCCTTGCCATCCAGATTCCAAATTCTACGTTTGTCATTTCAGACAATTCATACTGATTAAGAACAATTTCTGGGGAGCTCGTGGACTGGTTTGGAGATAATAGGAGTTATTTCCCTGATTTTTTTTCTCATCTGGGAGGGTTGCTATTCCTTTCATTGCAAGGGTATAAATTGAGTATAGTCTGTTGGCTTTATTTCTGGAAGTTTTCAGGGGACTAAGGCTCTGTACAGGGTCTTTGCTGAATTCTTGCTCTTGGTTTTCCAGGCGGTAGAATTTAGTAAAGTGATTTTTGGTGTTGTAGTGTGGCTGTAATCCAGTAGATGGCGCTTGAGAGCAATAGGCAATAGACAGGCTCTTACTCCACTGCGTGGTGCCTTTGTTTATCTTTGTTCTTGACCTTGATACTTTTGAAAAGGTCAGAGCAGTTTTTTTGTTTTTGTTTTTTGAGACAGGGTCTCACTTTGTCACCCAGGGTGGAGTGCAGTGGCACGATCTTGGATCACTGCAGCCTCAACCTTCCCAGGCTCAGGTAGGTGACAGAGCAGGCAAGTTAACTTAAGGCCTCCTCCTTGGCAATCTGGTCTCAAGTAGGGGACAGGTCCCCACAGACAGAACTGAGGGGCAAGTGTGGCATGGGCTCCAGACCCCGAGCACTGGAATTAGACACCTCTCCTTTGCAGAAAGGTTTAGCCTTTCCTCAAGCGGTTCTGCAAAGGAGAGGTGTAGCTGGGGTGGCGTGGGCAATGGTGGTGGCAGAGTTTGTGTGAAACTTGTCTCTTCCCCAATCACTGTCACTTGTTTCAGGAGACGTTGTAATGTGCTGTATGGTTTGACCTCCAGGCCAGTAGGTGGCAATTGCTGGTGAGAGCCAGTTGTAGCGCTGGCAGTGGGCTTTATGCTTGACCTTTGTTAACCAGAAGCATTCAGGTATCCTAAGTGATGGGTTGGGTTGTGGAAAACTCAGTGGTCTTGATCAGTACTCTGCCTCCAACGCAGGGAAATGAAGGTAAGTGTGGCTGGTCCAGGCAAGCCTGTACTCAGGCCCAATGCTAGGCACAGGCTCCGTCCCCACAGAGGCTACATGTGTGGTTCTCAGGTCCCTGGAGAGACACTCAAGCACTGAGTAGGGCAATGACTATTATGCCAAAGTTACAGCAGAGTTCCCCAGAGGGGCACGTTGGGTTCCAAGCCTAGAAAATGACA
This sequence comes from Homo sapiens, assembly GCF_000001405.40. Lineage (NCBI taxonomy): Eukaryota > Metazoa > Chordata > Mammalia > Primates > Hominidae > Homo > Homo sapiens. The sequence continues at coordinate 307,527 of NW_003571055.2, forward strand.
GTGGGACTCACTTTAATCTAATGCTCCCAACCCAGCAGAGCTCCTCCCTGTGGCCCAATGCTGGAAGCAATTTCAGACCGTCAAATCACATGCGGTTTGATGTCAGACCACTCAACTACCCCAGGCCACAGATCTTGCCTCCTGGGTAAAATCCATGCCTCTCAGGCTACAACTTTTCCCCCTCGGTTCTGTCAAAGAGAGGTGTCCAACGCCAGTGCTTGGTGTCTGGAGCCCATGCCACAATTGCCTCTCAGTTCTGTCCATGGGGACCTGTCTTCTACTTGAGCCCAGATTGTCAATCTCTGGCCCAAGACTCTCCGAAGTAGTGACCCTCACCCATGTTTGATGTCAAGTTCTTTTTTTTTTTTTTGAGACGGAGTCTCGCTCTGTCGCCCAGGCTGGAGTGCAGTGGCGTGATCTCAGCTCACTGCAAGCTTCGCCTCCCAGGTTCGTGCCATTCTCCTGCCTCAGCCTCCCGAGTAGCTGGGACTACAGGCACCCACCACCGTGCCCGGCTAATTTTTTGTATTTTTAGTAGAGACGGGGTTTCACCGTGTTAGCCAGGATGGTCTTGAACTCCTGACCTCGTGATCCGCCTGCCTCGGCCTCCCAAAGTGCTGGGATTACAAGCATGAGCCACCACGCCCAGCTAATTTTTTGTATTTTTAGTAGAGACGGGGTTTCACCGTGTTAGTCAGGATGGTCTCGATCTCCTGACCTCGTGATCCGCCTGCCTCGGCCTCCCAAAGTGCTGGGATTACAGGCGTGAGCCACCGCGCCGGGCCGATGTCAAGTTCTTGCACTGCCCACTAAGGGTTAGGATCAGGAATGGCCTCTTTCTATCAGCATCCAGGTCTGGGAGCACACATGGAGCACTTCCCTGGGCCCTTCCTTTTCACAGTCCTCCCGCTGTTCCCTAAGTCAGATCCAGGGCTTAGGTCGGTCAAAGAGCTCCCCAGTGGCCTGGATTGCCTGGCTCCCCACTGAGAATGGGTATCATGTGGTCTCATAACTTCCCTCTCAGGCACTGGAAGTTCACTCATGGTTTTCTGCCAGGTCTTGCTGCATGAGCTGCTGCCTGCCTTCTTTTTAGCAGTATCTGAGATTTCCTTCACTTTCATATTCAACTCCTGTATTAGTCCATTTTCAGGCTGCTGATAAAGACATACCCGAGACCAGGTAATTTATAAGAAAAAGAGATTTAATTGACTCACAGTTCCACATGGCTGCAGAGGCCTCACAATCATGGTGGAAGGTGAAAGCAACATCTCACGTGGTGGCAGGTACAGAGGAAATGAGAGCCAAGCAAAAGGGGAAACCCCTTATAAAATCATCAGCTCTTCTGAGACTTATTCACGACCACAAGAACAGAATGGGAGAAACTGCCTCCATGATTCAGTTATCTCCCACCGGCTCCCACAGCACGTGGGAATTATGGGAGCTACAATTCAAGATGAGATTTGGGTGGGGACACAGCCAAACCATATCACCTCCCATGTTCTTTCTTGGATACAAGAATGCAGAATGAATCTCTACACACCATTTTGGTATTTTCACCATCTCGGAAGACATAACAGTGTATTATATCCTTAAAAATCACTATAAAAGTAGATTTTAAGGGTTCTTACCACACAAAAATTAGAAATATGGAAAGTAATGTATATGTTAATTAGATTGATTTGCCCAACAGACAAGTATATATATTTCAAAACTACATACTTTACACAATAAGTATATACAATTTAGGAATTTTTCTTTTTTCTTTTTTTTTTTGATGGAGTCTCACTCTGTCACCAAGCTGGAGTGCACTGGTGCGATCTCGGCTCACTGCAATCTCCGCCTCCTGGGTTCAAGCGATTCCCCTGCCTCAGCCTCCCGAGTAGCTGGGACTACAGGCGTGCACCACCACGCCCGGCTAATTTTTTGTATTTTAGTAGAGATGGGGTTTCACCATGTTGGCCAGGATGGTCTCGATCTCCTGACCTTGTGATCCAAAGCTGTGTTATGAACATGAAGTTCTAAACACATTTTCTCATATGTTCACACATGTCTCATTCCAGCCTCAGTGCTCATGGGGTAGGATCTCCTTACCTGAGACCACAAACCCTGGGGGTCCCTGGGGTGTGAAAACAGGTAGGGGGAGGTACTCTATAAGACATAGCACCTGTAGGTCCTCCCAGCATTCATGGAGAATTCAGCCTGTACTGCTGAGCTTGGTACTTTGATATTAGACACAAAGGTAGGGATCTGCTGCTCCCTTCTTGGAAATAAGAAAAGTGTCACTGATGTAGCAGGACCATGTTCTTTCCTGAGGCCACCATGGAGCCCGGCTGCACCAACAGGGAATATCCCTCAGGCACCTGTCCTAGAGAGAGGCAGGATGGGTGAGGGGCTGCCCCCACCTTGTTCTGAGCAGAGACCTTCCCAGGGCTTCTCTCTAGGACCCTCAGTCTCTCTGTCATTCACTGTTTCCTCTGAGTCTCTTCCTCTCCCTCCCATCCACCTTGCCCCTCTGTCTCTTTCCCTCTCTAAAGAACCTTATCCATTGACGTGGTTTGATTGTGTCCCCACCCAAATCTCATCTTGAATTGTAGCTCCCATAATTCCCACGTGTTGTGGGAGGAACCTGGTGGGAGATAATTGAATCGTGGAGGCGGTGGGTGGTTTCCCCCATACTGTTCTCCTGGTAGTAAGTCTCACGAGATCTGATGGTTTTATAAGGGGAAACCCCTTTCACTTGGCTCTCATTTCTTTCTTGTCTGCCACCATGTGCCTTTCACCTTCCACCATGCTTATGAGGTCTCCCCAGCCACATGGAACTGTGAGTCCATTAAACCTCTTTTTCTTTATAAATCACCCAGTCTTGGGGATGTCTTTATCAGCAGCAAGAAAACAGACTAATACACTCATCATGCTGGTCATCACCGCCTGCAGATCCCCAGCAGGCCCTGTGCAGAATCTGGGTCCCTGAGTGAACCTGCTGGACCCCTCACCTGCAATAGCATATCCAGGGGATTCAGGGGACCAAACAATCAGAAAAGACATTGTGGGCTCGGTGCGGTGACTCACGCCTGTAATCCCAGCACTTTGGGAGGCCGAGGTGGGTGGATCACCTGAGGTCAAGAGTTCAACACCAGGCTGGCCAACATGGCAAAACCCAGTCTCTACTAAAAATACAAAAAAAAAAAAAAAAATTTAGCCAGGCATGGTAGTGTATGCCTGTAATCCCAGGTACTTGAGAGGCTGAGGCAGGAGAATTACTTGAACCCAGGAGGTGAAGGTTGCAGTGAGCTGAGATCGTACCACGCACTCCAGCCTGGGCAACAAGAGCGAAACTCCATCTCAAAAAAACAAAAACAAAACAAAACAAGAAAAGAAAAGAAAAGACGTTGCGTTTAGCACAGCATCTGTCCTGGCTCCCATGGGAGCCACTCCAAGGAAACGTCAGCCTGACGGAGCCCAGCCTGGGGCTGCCAGCCATGGTGCCAGGGTGGTCATGTCGCCTCTCCTCAGACAGGAAAAGTCCTTGGTGGCCAACATCAGAGCAACACTGGAAGGTCAGACTCTCTCCAGAGATTAGGAGGGGCCCCTGTTTGGTCCCGTGCAGGGAGTCCTAGACACACCTAGAGGGAAAGACAAGTCAGGACTTTGGGGGCTGACTCCCCTCAAATACATCCCTTGTCCTCCTGGCTCTGCAGATCTCACCATCACTTATACTCTGTGTCTCTGGCCCCAGAAGCCCTCGTTCCCCTCATTCCACCCTCACGCTTGGGACTTGCCTGGGAGCAAGATCCACAGCAACCTGTCTGATGCTTCAAAGAATGTTTGGGGTAAAGATGGGACTTCCTCACCTGAGAACAGGAGCTTCAGGGAGTTGCTGAGGTCCGACCACACCTGAAGGGTGTTCTGACTTCCTCACCTGAGAACAGGAGCTTCAGGGAGTCGCTGAGTTCCGACCACACCTGAAGGGTGTTCCTGTTATTGCCATGACATCTGAACATCCATCTGTGGCTGAGGGTCTTGGGGCCCACAGGAAACAGAGCTTGGGACTGTCCACTAGGGTGTTGCTGAGAGTCTAGGGTGCAGGAGAGACTGAGTTCTCCTTCCTCGGTCAGAATGAATCTGTCCAGTTGCAGCCATGAGCCACGCTGGAGAGTCCTCTCCTAAAGTTGCAACAGGCTCAGGGGGGCTGAGAAGGTAGATTTTCTGTAGAATCCTAGGAGAGAAGGAGGTAGTGTGATCCTTGAGGCTCAAGCCTCCCACCTTATCCCTTAGGGCTGGGCTGTGAGGGAGAGACACCCCTGAGAGCAGACCCCTTTCCTGAGGGCAGAGCCTGGGGCTGGGACCCCAAGGTGTCCTCCCACCTATCACCACCAGCTCCAGGGAGTCAGTGAGCTCTGGGGCTGAAATAGTGACAGTAATATCATCCTACATATTCATTTGTCATGGATATGATGGGGGAACTCGGCCTTGTCTCCAGGCTGCAGTGGGCTCTGTCTGTCCCAGGACACTGAGCTTCCCTCTTTTTTTTTTTTTTTTCTTTTTTTTTTTGAGACGGAGTCTTGCTCTGTCACCCAGGCTGCAGTGCAGCGGCGTGATCTGGGCTCACTGCAAGCTCCGCCTCCCGGGTTCACGCCATTCTCCTGCCACAGCCTCCCGAGTAGCTGGGACTACAGGCGCCCACCACCACACCCACCTAATTTTTTGTATTTTTAGTAGAGACAGGGTTTCACCATGTTAGCCAGGATGGTCTCGATCTCCTGACCTCATGATCCGCCCGTCTCAGCCTCCCAAAGTGCTGGGATTACAGGCATGAGCCACCACGCCCAGCCCCCTCTTTTTTTTTTAGTTGGAGTCTTGCTCTGTCACCAGGCTGGAGTGTAGTGGCACAGTCTCAGCTCACTGCAAGCTCCGCCTCCCGGGTTCAAGTGATTCTCCCACCTCAGCCTCCCAAGTAGCTGGGACTACAGGTGCACACCACCACGCCCAGCTAATTTTTGTATTTTTAGTAGAGACGGGGTTTCACCATGTTGGCCAGGATGGTCTCGATCTCTTGACCTCATGATCTGCCTGCCTTGGCCTCTCAAAGTGCTGGGATTACAGGCATGAGCCACCGCGACCGGCCCTGGGCTTCCCTCTTTATCCAATCGGTACTCCTGGGCCTCCAGGTTCCCCTGACACCAGAGGGTCACAGGCCTCTCCCAGGTGATCACAGAGCCTGTCTCAGCCCATGGGGAGGGTTTGGGGAAGGGCCCTGAAATGGAACCAGAGGCTGGGTCCCAAGATCTCTTTCACTCCTGGTTCTCTAGTTTAGTCCAAAACCCCTCTCTGTTTTATCACCCTCAGCCCAGAACAACTGTGCCCCCCAACCTGAGAGCCCAGGGGCTGGAGTAAGAGGGAGGCTCGTGGAGAACCTGGTAGCCCCTTCTCCCTCCATCACTGACTGAGGCAGAGAAGCACGAACACCGTGATGCCTGCTCTGGGGGCTCCAGCTGTGGGAGAGGAGACCACAGGGCCCTCCAGGACAGACAGACACACGGATGTGGTCACTCAGAGCCTGCTGCTGCCCGTCCAGGTACCCACAGCTGTGGACCCACAGGAAGGGAAACTGCTTTTCCCTGGGCCTGGCTCTGGTTTTCCCTGGGTGGGGGAGCTCAGGAGGACCCCAGACTCTCTGGACACATGAGCCTCTGCTCCCCTCCCCTGCCCCAGGTCACCGTCTCTGCTGCAGGTGGGACAGGACAGGCCCCTGTGGAATCGGGTCTGGGAGTTTCCCTGGGAGGCCTCCTCTCCCAGGAGGTCACAGCTGGGAGTCAGAGCTGAAAGGAACTTTCCCACCCGCAGGCCTCTCTCCTTTACACTTGGAGAAACTGAGGCCCAGGCAGAGGAGGGGCCTGTCCACATCACCACCTCCAGAGGAGCCTCAAACCGATGACAGAACTCAGCCCTTCCTCCCCTGGACCCCGCCCATCTCCCACTCAAAGCCCCTCACTTAGCACTGTGGGGGCCTGACGTTGTGGGGGTGAGGGGCTGGTCCTCAGGGCCTGCTGGGTCAGGATGGGGAGGTGAGGGCTGGGGCTGCCCTGCTCCCCACGTCAGCCCGGCTGCTCCTCCCCAGGCTGGGCCCCAACATCTCCCTCTGCCTCGACCCCCACCCCTCACCAGCCCAGCCTCAGAGCCCCGGGGAGCCTGTGGCCCCTCCTCTGGCTCTGCCTCAGCTCCCTGGAGGGAAGCTCGTGCTTGAGTCCTTGAGGGGAATGGGATCATCTGGGAGACTCAGGACTGCCCTGGGGGAGGCCACCCTCCCTCTGAGCCCAGAGGCCTCAATGACTCACCAGGTATGGAGAAGGAGCCTATGGGTGGAGGGCTGGGGCCCCTGGAGGGTCCTGGGAAGGAGCACAGAAAGGGAGTGAGGAATTGGAGCTATCCTGGAGTCCCCACCTCCACTCAAAGCTCTCCTCTCCATCTGCCCAGTGGCCTCTCCAAGACCCTCCCTCTTCCCACCTAGCACCTTCTGGACTCCAGGTGAAGGAGAAGAGGGAGAACTCCTGTTGGCTTCTTCTCCTCTGAGGGGTGAATTCCTCTGTGGCTGAGCCTCCCTCAGAGCCCCCTTCACTCCATCTCTGCCCAGAGCTCTCCTGGGGGCAGGGCCTGAGCTGAGTCTTTGAACTTAGAGAGGACAGGGTCAGGGCCTTTCACCCAAGACCACCAGCTCCGACTGCGGTGTGATAGCAGGTAGGGGGAGGTGCAGTCATGTGAGAATCTTGAAGGTGCCCATGAAGGGAGTGTTTATACCACAGTCATCAACAAATTCCACAAATAAATGCTTTTTAGAAAACTTTTTTGTTGTTGTTCAGGAAGCCAGTCTATGCGCACAACAGCAGGCTTTTCCATCAAACACTTCTCTTTTGATTCCTAGTGACTGTATCTCTGGAGAAACTACAGATGAAGAGTGACAGGTGGTACAGCATCACTTTGAACTTAGATTTTCCAAACACGAATCTGATTTTTGCCCATGGATTTAATTATCAAAAGCAAATTCCATGTTATGAGCTGAAGAGATAGTCCCAGTAATACACATTAGAAAATGCAGTAGTTAGAAATAAAGAAAGGTGTATTACCTGAAAGTGGAGCAGAGCATGAGGTCACAGAGGGGCGGACCCAAACCCACCATAGGGGTGAAGCCTTACATCATAGGGAAGAAAAACGAAGGAAGGGGCAGTCAAGGAGAGTCGACAATGAGGAGGAAAGCACCACAGTTTAATGGAGGAAGCATCTTCTACAGACACCCAGACATCTTCCTGCACCTGACCCATGCTTCTTCCCCTTGATATTCTCAGCAGACACTTCCCCAACTGCTGCCCCAGTCTTCCAGAACCTCCTCAGATCATCAGATCTGTTCCCAAGGCTCCACCACTCTGAAGGGTGCATTGTCCTTTCTGCTGTTTGCCTCCTGGCTGCACCTTGGGGGGCTTCTCTGGCTGTGCTGAGCCTCAAATAACAGAATCCCGAGGAACAGCAGGACCAAGCCAGCCACACCCATGCGGATGAGATTCTCCACTGTGTAATCCTGGAGGTGTGGGGCTAGGGATGGTGGACAAAGAGGTCACAGAGGTCAGGGCAGATCACAATTACCAAAGACCCCTGGATGTCCACCCAGGGTACCCACCTCCCCTTGACAGGACCTGACCCTCTGTGCCCAGCCCCATAACTGGGAGAATCTCCTCACTCACCAGTCTTGGAATCTGACTTCTTTTGTGCTGGATTGAGGGTCTCAGTTGCTCCTAAGAATCAAAGAATAAGGATGTTGGTGAGAAGCTGAAGAGCCTCTCCCCTGGGCAATGCATTCTTATATTCCTCCACCTCTCATGGTGTGACTTTATGTAGATCCTTAGTGAACACATTCTCTGCTCTCACAGGCCTCCCCTGGTACGTCATTGGGTTTTTCAACCTCTCTGTGCTCTGGGAATTCAGATCTTGTGCCTGAGTCACTTTGAAACAAAGTTTACTTGAGCCCAGGAGCTCAGGATTAGTAAGAAGAATGATCCCCCAACTAGAAAGAATTGAGCTCTTGTGTGCTGTCTTGGATGTGCAATCTTGTGCAACAAGAACACAACAACTAATTCCCCCAGAGACAGAAATTTCCATTTTTCAGTGGATGAGGACCCAGTCTCTGTGGATGAGGAGTTGGTCCTCAGTCACTCTTGGAAGTCAGGAGCACAAGCAAGGGCTGGAGGCTGCAACGGCCCCCACTGTGTGCGCCTCAGACAGCTCCCCTGTGGTTTCATCATCCATTTAATGTCTTGTTAACTAATTCTTCATATAGTTAGGAAACCTACAATGTGATATGCTTAAATATGAAAATGTATTCTTTTCTAAATGATAATGACTAAGTGGGACAGAAAAACATCATTTCTGCTTTTTTGAAGTATGAACCTAGATTGGAAGGTGAAAAGCAAATATTTAAAAACATACCCGAACTTAAAGTAAAATAAAAAATAAAGGCCAGGCGCGGTGGTTCACGCCTGTAATCCCAGCACTTTGGGAGGCTGAGGCGGGCGGATCACAAGGTCAGGAGACTGAGACCATCCTGGCTAACACGGTGAAACCCCATCTCTACTAAAAATACAAAAAAAAAAAAAAAAATTAGCCTGGCATGGTGGTGGGCTCCTGTAGTCCCAGCTACTTGAGAGGATGAGGCAGGAGAATGGCGTGAACCCCAGAGGCGGAGCTTGCAGTGAGCCGAGATCGCACCACTGCACTCCAGCCTGGGCGACAGAGTGAGACTCCGTCTCAAAAAAAATAAAATAAAATAAAATAATAATAAAAAATAAAAACAAATAAATATTTAAAAATCTGATGAAAAATATTAAGCACAGGATTGAATACTTGAATATATGTTTGTGTCTATATATGTACATAGCACATATATTCATATAAAATATATGTGATTAACATGGTTTATAAAATATATGTGATTAACATGCTTTGCATTTGTGTCTCTCTCAAATCTCATGTTGAATTGTAATCCCCAATGTTGGAGGAGAGGCCCAGTGGGAGGTGATTGGCTTCCCCCTGGCTGCTCTCATGATAGTGAGTTGTCACGAGATCTTGTTATTTAAAAGTGGGTAGCACCTCCCCCTTCTCTGTCTTCCTCCTATTCCAGCCATAGAAGAAGTTCCTGCTTTCCCTCCGCCTTCTGCCATGATTGTAAGTTTCCCGAGGCCTCCCCAGCCAGGCTTCCTGTATGGCCTGTGGAACCGTGAGTTAATTAAACCTCTTTCCTTTATAAATTACCCAGTCTCAGGTAGGTTTTTGTTTGTTTGTTTGTTTGTTTTTGAGACGGAGTCTTGCTCTGTCCCCCAGGCTGGAGTGCAGTGGTGCGATCTCAGCTCACTGCAGCCTCTGCCTCTGGGTTCCAGCGATTCTCCTGCCTCAGCCTCCAAGGCAGTTGGGATTCAGGTACCCGCCACCATGCCCAGCTAATTTTTGTATTTTTAGTAGAGATAGGGTTTCGCCATGTTGGCCAGGCTGGTCTTTCATTCCTGACCTCAGGTGATCGGCCCACCTCGGCCTCCCAAAGTGCTGGGATTACAGGCGTGAGCCATCGTGCCCGGCCTCAGGTAGTTCTTTACAGCAGTGTGAGAACAGATGAATACAATGATTATAGATACATATGTATACGTGGCTTTAGATATTTGTTTTTAAAGTATATATGTAACTACGTATATATTCATATTTGAGATGAGAAAGATGGGCTTACAATTTGGAAATATAAACGTGAAATTTCCAATTTTTTATGGCTGATATAAACATCAGCCCCAGCATCTTCCCCTTGTCCATGTCAGGCCTGGACCCCCGGACCCCAAATCCCGCTCAGGTAGGGGAGGACAGACCTGACTCCTCCACCTATCATTGCTGCTCCCTTCTTCCTGCCTGGTTCTAGGACACCTCCCTCCCCTCTGACCACCACAGAGGGAACACCTGCTCCATCCTCAGAGCCCCAGGAAGCCACGTGGACCACGCCCTTATTGTCCACTCTCCCCTCTGTTCCTCTGAGGAACAGACCCCTTTCCTGAATATTGGAGATAAGGTTGAGATGAGTCTAGAATATTATACTGGGTCAGAGTAACTGCGCTTTCATCTCCCACGGGGTCAGGACTTAGAGGCTGGGGACACCCAGATGTTGATTCTGAGATGGAGACATCAGGAAGGGAGCAGGTGGGGCCTCCGTCTTCCACCCTCAGTCTAATCTCATCTCCTCCAAGGCTCACCCCCACCTGCTTGCAGCCCTCTCCACTCTTTACCCTACTGAGACTTCAGGGGTGGGAGCCCAGGGTGGGAAGTCCTCATCTATTTCCACACTCCCATAGGCTGGACCTTCCCCTCGGTGGGAGGTTCCCATGTATTTCCACCCTTCCATGGGCTGGGCCCTCCCCTGTGGACCCTCCCCCTTCACTGTCCTGTTTTCTTAGTGTCCTGAACTCTCCTGGGGGCAGGGCCTGAGCTGAGAGAGGCTCAGGGCTCACAAAGGCCGGGGCTGATGGAGGAAGAAGTGGGGCAGCAAGTGAGACAGACAGACGGACACTCTCTTGGAAGCTCTCCTTTTTCATTTCCAAGAACCCCTTTGAGCTCAGAGTGGACAGGGTCAGCGCCCTCACCTGAGACCACGAGCTCCAGGGGCTCACTGGGGTGAGACAGCAGGTAGGGGTTGGAGCTGCGTGAGCCGTAGCACCTGTAGGTCCCCGCGTGGGCTGAGGTCACAGGACTCATGGGGAATTCAGCCTGGTACTTATGAGCTCCGTACATTGATCTCAGACGCAACGGGGGATGGGCTGCCCCCTCCTTGGTCAGAAGGAAAGTGAACATCGGGTCCCATGACTGACACAGCAGGGTCACCTTCTCTCCTGAGGTCACCGTGGGGCCCGGCTGCACTGAGAGGGAGGGTCTGTCAGAGATCTGTCCTGGAGAAAAGAAGGACGGGTGAGGGGCTGCCCCACCTTGTTCTGAGCTGAGACCTCCCCACCAGTCCTCTCCCTGGGACCCTCAGTCTGTCTCTGTCTTCTCTGAGTCTCCCCCTCCCCGCCCATCCCCTGTCTCTGTCTGTCTCTCCCTCCCTTAGGACCCCCACCCCTCATCCCGGCCATCACCACCTGGGCTCCCCCAGCAGGGCCTGTGCAGAGCCTGGGTCCCCCTGACTGAACCCGCTGGGCTCCTCACCTGCGATCAGGATGTCCAGGGGGTCACTGGGGGCCGACCACTCGGAGGAGACGTTGTGTGCGCCGTAGCATCTGTACTGGCCCCCGTAGGAGCGGCTCACAGGGCTCAGGGTGAAGTTGGCCTGGGAGAGCCCAGCCTGGGGCTGCCGGCCAGGGCGCTGGGGGAGGCCATCGGCCCCCTCCTTGTACAGAGTGTATCTGATGTAGCCGACATCAGAGCCACACTGGAGGGTCAGATTCTCTCCGGGGGTCACGACAGGGCCCTGCAGGGTCAGGAGGGAGGGCTTCCTAGACACGCCTGGAGGGAAAGATGAGTCGGGACTCGGAGCGGCTGGTTCCTCCTGCGCCCCTTCCTTCTGTAGCCTTCCTCACTAGGGTTTCCAGCGTCCTTGTTTTTTTCTCATTCTGTATTTGTGTCCCCAGGGCCCCCATCTTCCCCTCATCTTTTCTTCTTGCGTGGGCTAGCCCGAGGGTAAGGCTCCCAACAGCTCACCTGGTGCCCTGACTTTGTATAAGGAAAAGCTACGGCTTCCTCACCTGACACCAGTAGCTGCAGGGGGTCACTGGGTTCCGACCACACGTATGGGGTGTTGTTTTCATAGCCGTAGCATCTGAATGTACCCCTGTTGCTGAAGGTCAGGGGGCCCATGGGGAACAGGGCCTGGAACTTTCCATGGTTGTGTTGGTGTGAGTTCAGGGTCCAGGAGAGCCTGTGGTCTCCTTCCTCAATCAGAGTGAACCTGCCCAGTCCCAGCCGTGAGGCACACCGGAGGGTCACGTTCACTCCTGAGGTCACCACAGGGCTTGGCAGTGCGGACAGGGTGGGTCTGCTGTAGGCTTTCAAGAGAAAAAAAGGCAGCCGTGTTTAAATGGGGCTCACACCTCCCACCTTATCCTACAAGGCTGGGCTGTGAGAAGGGAGACCCCTCGAGAGCTGAGAGCCGACCCCCTTCCCGAGGGCAGAGCCTGGGGCTGGGACCCCTGAGTGTCCTCTCACCTGTCACCACCAGCTCCAGGGGGTCGCTGGGCTCTGACCAGCCTGCAGGGCTCTGATAGTAACAGTGATATCGCCCTGCATGTTCCCACATCATGGATGGGATGGAGAGTTTGACCTTGTTTTCAGACTCCAGTGTTTTTAATATGTGCCTCGACATTGAGTTTCCCTCTTTATCCAGACGGTACCCCTGGGCCTCCAGGGTGCCCTGACACCAGATGGTCACGGGGTTATGCCAGGTGATCACGGGACCTGGCTCGGCCCACAGGATGGGTTTGGGTAGGTTTTCTGGAAGGAAATTACAGGTTAGGTCCCAAGATGTCCTCAACCCTCAGATCCCAGCTCTCAGCCCCAGGACCCCCCTCATCCCCATCAGTCAGCCCAGAACTGCTGTCTTCACCCCCAGCTGCCCAGGGGTGGTCCCTTGTCCCCAGAGAGGAGGAGGGACCTAGGACAGCTGGGGACAGACTCACCTGCCTGCACCCGGGTCCTGGGGCCCAGGCTCAGCCCTGGAAGAGAGTTCCCTGTGAGAGATTTGCCTCCGAAGCCTGAGCAGGTCTTCTTCTTTTCCTTGAGCCCCTGGGATGCCCTAATTGACTAAGGCATGGCTATGGATTGGGGTCTCTCTCCTAGACTAGGGTCTCTCCTCCCCCTCTTAAGATCTCACCAAAGAAGAGCAGGCTTGTGAGAATGAGGGTCATGGCATCTCCTCCTCCTGGCCCTGGCTGTGCAGGCAGGTGTGGCCACGGTGCCCGTAGACACAGACAGACACATGGTGTGCGGGCACACGGAGGCTGGGTCCTCCCCATCACGAGGTTGTCCCATCAGCACACCGACAGAAAGAGGAACTGCCCCTCCCCAGGACCCTGGCTCTCATTTCCCAGGGCTTGTCCTGGGGGTGAGCACCAGGCTCTCTGCCGATATTTCAGACACAAATGGGGATTCACAAGGGGGTCGTTAAGAAGGACATTTTCGGCCGGGCGCTGTGGCTCACAGCTGTCATCCCAGCACTTTGGGAGGCCAAGGTGGGTGGATCACTTGAGGTCAGGAGTTCGAGACCAGCCTGGCCAACATGGCAAAACCCCGTGTCTACTAAAAATACAAAAATGAGCCGGTCGTGGTGGCACATGCCTGTAATCCCAGCTACTCGGGAGGCTAAGGCGGGAGAATCACTTGAACTCCGGAGGCAGAGGCTGCAGTGAGCCGAGATCACGCCATTGCCTTCCAGCCTGGGCAACAAGAACAAAACTCTATCTCAAAAAAAAAAAAAAAAAGGACGTTTCCATCTCTGTGTGGCACAGAAAAGGAAGTCCAGGGTCCTCACAGACAGGGAGGAACCTAGGGCTCCAGGTGAAAGTGAGACGCTGTGGCTGCCCCTCTTCTGTGTTTGCACATGGGCACTGCCATCTCTCTGCTTCCTTGTGGGAGCCATGAGGGGCAGAAAGAGGAACTGCCCCTCCCCAGGAGCTTGGCTCTCATTTCCCCAGGGCTTGTCCTGGGCGTGAACACCAGGCTCTCTAGAGATATTACAGACAGAAATGGGCTCTCCCCTCACTTTGGCTGCGTCTATCTAATCTGTCCTCATCTCACCAAGGGCCAGGATGTAGCAGCAAACAGACCCGGTGCCTTCTTGATTCAGCCCCTTCCAGGTGAGAGGGACTGACGGTTCCTCCTTCCCTCTCAGAGCCTCCCCATGGAGGAGGCTCCATCTCCCCTGTGTGTGTGTGAAAAACAGGCTGTCTGTGGTATTGTCACACCTGGACATCTGTCCCACACGTGAGTGGGAGGTCACATTGGACTCCGCCTTGCCAGCCACAACTTTGGGCAGATGCTAAGTTTGGAAGAGTTGATGCTCCTGGACAGGAGCAGCTGTAACCACCCGCTCTGGACAGGCCTGATTTCTGAGTCGTCTCTGGGAGAAATGTTCTTTGTAAGATCATGTGCATGGGGGTAGATGGACAGCATGCAGTGTATTTGAGAAGAGATAGACAACTAGAAATTATGTAGGCAGATGTGGCTGTGGTGAAAATAGTAGGTAGAATTAACACACTTAAAAATCAATTCTATGGCCGGGCACGGTGGCTCGCACCTGTAATCCCAGCACTTTGGGAGGCCCAGGCGGGCAGATCACCTGAGGTCAGGAGTTCAAGACCAGCCTGGCCAACATGGTGAAACCCCGTCTCTATACTAAAAATAACAAAAATTAGGCTCATTTTTGAATCCCCTTAAACATTACCAGCCCCTAAATGTCTGCTCTACGGATTCTTCTTTGAATTCAGTATTAACATCTTTCCCGTTCCCTCGTTAATAGTAAGCTAAATAAAAACTTGTGTCCATTTTATCCTTCTAGAAGAGCAATTTTTTTTTACCTTTTTGAAAAAAAAAAACTTTACCAAAATATATTTAAGATCAAGAATGCTGGTCATAAGCTGTGAAAATCTATGTCTTGTCTTAATCATTCCATCAGCATAAAAAATGTAGCAATGCATGTGAAGTGTTGGTTCCAGGCAAACCTGCTTAAGACTCAATGTTCAAGGTTGTTATTAGGTGGGGGCCATATAGGCATAATGGTCAGTCACAGGGAAACCAGGGAAAAGCTGCTGTTCATCAGCATTTTTTTTTTTTTTACAAACTCATCAACAGTGAGCTACATTGTTTGCGGAAATGGCCTAGTCAAGACACAGTAGAATTCAGTGCTGCAGTCACACAACACCAGCTTATCTCTTAGGAACATAGGGAACATTCCAGGAGCCATGTTTAGGAACTAGATGCCAGCTAAGGACCAACTTTACAAGCAAACTCTCCCAACGTTATCACCCTTGCAGCTGTGAGATTAACTCCTTCTTGCACACCTGTACCTGAAAAAAATAATAGTCCTCTTGAATGCAGCAGCACCTTGTTCACCCGGAACATGCCTCCGCTCCTCCAGATTCTTCCCGCCCTATCTCAGTTTTTTTCTGCAGATTCTCCAAGGTTCTGCAAACTGTAAGCAGTAAATCCACACTCAACTTGAGTTTTCATGAGGGAAGCCGTCTGGGGCCTTCTCTGGCTGTGCTGAGCCTGAACGAGCATCCCCCAGAGGCCACCGGGATCAACACAGCATGGTCATTGGGATGAGATTCTCCATGGCAGAGGCTGGAGGGGCGTGGTCAGTAGACAGAATGGAGCATTTGCTGAGGGCTAGACTGGCCACACTCACCTCGGAAGCCCTGGATGGGTGTTTACACATCTACACTCTGGAAAGGGGAGTCCCAGTTATTCCTCACTATGGGTCTATACTTGGTGGAGGTTGGTTGAGAGGATCAGGGACTCTGTATGCGTCTGTTCTCACTCTGCTATGAAGAACTACCCAAGACTGGGTAATTTATAAGAAAAGACGTTTAATTGACTCACAGTTCCATATGTCTGGGGAGGCCTCATGAAACTTACAATCATGGTGGAAGGCACCTCTTATTGGGCGGCAGGAGAGAGAATGAGAGTGGAGCGAAGGGGGAAGCCCCTTATAAAACCATTAGATCTCATGAGAACTCACTCATTATCACGAGAACAGTACAGGGGAAACCGCCCCCATGATTCAATAATCTCCACCTGGTCCTGCCCTTGACATGTGGGGATTATTATAATCCAAGGTGGGATTTGGGTGGAGACACAGAACCGAACCATATCAGACACCTATGAATAAGAATGAGGTGGGGCATGAGTAGCCAGACCACCATTGTATCCCCCGACCAGGGCGTATAACCCACCATTGTATCCCCCAACCAGGGCACATAACCCACCATTGTATCCCCCCCAGGGCGTGTAACCATTGTATCCCCCCACCAGGGCATGTAACCCACCATTGTATCCTCCCCACCTCCAGGGCATGTAACCCACCACTGTATCCCCCAACCAGGGTGTGTAACCCACCATTTTATCCCCCTCAGGGTGTGTAACCCACCATTGTATCCCCCTCCAGGGCCTGTAACCCACTATGCCCTGGCTCCTTCACAACTCTCCTCCCTTCTCATGGGAGAATTGTATGAGATCCTTGCTGACCCCAACTCCCAGCTTGGGCTTAGAACCCTATGGTCCCTTCCTCAAATATGTTCAGGTTCCTGGGCCTTGTTGAAGTCACAGACAACTTCTCAGCTGCAGAGATATTGCGGGTTTGGTTTTACAACAACTCAGGGACAGAGGACAAAAATCTCCAACCTCTGGAATGCTTAACTCTGCTATTCCCTGGTCTCAGATTAGTCCCAAAATTAGTTAAACCTAAGCCTCACGCTTTGACCTCTAGTAATGCGTCAGCTGTCAGTATGGAATCCATAGATCTGCATGTGGGGCTCCTGGTGTCCCAGGGCCAGGAATATGAAGCAGCCAAAGGCTGTGACTGCCTTTTCTTTTCTTTCTTTCTTTCTTTTTTTTTCTGAGATGGAGTCTCGCTCTGTTGCCCAGGCTGGAGTGCAGTGGTGCAATCTCAGCTCACTGCAAGCTCCGCATCCCGGGGTCACGCCATTCTCCTGCCTCAGCCTCCTGAGTAGCTGGGACTACAGGCGCCCGCCACCATGCCTGGCTAATTTTTTGTATTTTTAGTAGAGACGGGGTTTCACCGTGTTAGCCAGGATGGTCTTGATCTCCTGACCTTGTGATCTACCCGCCTCTGCCTCCCAAAGTGCTGGGATTACAGGTGTGAGCCACTGTGCCTGGCCTTATTTTTTTTTTGGTCAGGGAGTCTTGCTCTGTCGCCCAGGCTGGAGTGCAGTGGTGCGATCTCAGCTCACTGCAACCTCCGCCTCCCGGGTTCAAGCGATTCTGCTGCCTCAGCCTCCTGAGTAGCTGGGACTACAGGCATGTGCCACCATACCTGACTAATTTTCTGTATTTTTAGTACAGATGGGACTTCATGTTAGCCAGGATGGTCTCGATCTCCTGACCCCATTATCCGCTTGCCTCGGCCCCCCAAAGTGCTGGGATTACAGGCCTGAGCCCGGCCCCCTTTTCTTTTTTTGTACCTCACTCAGCTCTCTGCATTCTCTGGTTCAACTTAATAGTACTACTAATAACCCAAGTAATAATCTCACTATTCTTCTGTCCATTTATCTGTTTTGTTTTACAATTAATGAGAGAATAGTCATAGATTCCAAGTAACTTTTTCAGGAATAAGAAACACTATAGTGAACAAAACCTCCCATTGTTCATTCAATTTGTAATAGAAATGGAGAAAGTCAGATGAATTAAGCAAAAATACAAAAGAGATGAACTATTATTTAAAAACAACACACAGAGGCATAAATGCACAAAATTTAAGCCACCTAGAGGTCTTGAATGTGTGTTGCCCTTATAAAAAAAAAAAAAAAAACAGTGCCAGCCTGGCCAACATGGCGAAACCCCATCTCTACTAAAAACACAAAAATTAGTTGGGTCTGGTGGTGGGCACCTGTAATCCCAGCTACTCAGGAAGCTGAGGCAGGAGAATCGCTTGAATCCAGGAGGGAGAGATTGCAGTGAGCCGAGATCTTGCCACTGCACTCCATGCTGGGTGACAGAGGGAGACTCTGTTAAAAAACAAAACAAAAACAAACAAACAAAAGCAGTGAGTACTAGGGGCAAAGATCACTTAACCCAGTTTGTCATTAAAAAAAATGTTTTTGAGGATGTGACAGGTTAGGTAAAGACTGAACAATGAGCAAGAGGAGGATCCAGAAAGGTAATATTGCCCAACATAGGAGCAGATGATTGCGGTATTTTGATACCAGAAAATGCAGAAATGTTCCTAGTGTGTCTAAAATGTATATGAGAATGAGGAAACGGAAAAAGTGGTACAGAGCTGTATTTCCAGATGTGCAAACAGACGTATGAACATCGACATGTGCAATCAATTGTTAACTGAAAATCAATACAGAAATAAAGTGAGAAATAAAAACACTTATCTGCAATACAGCCATGAGTCTCAGAGCACGGCGTGTGGAGAAATGTACATAAACGGGGTGTCTCTGAGAGGAAACAGAATAAAGAGGTACTTGATTGCCTCTGGAGATGGAAATTGAGAAGATGGGAGCAAGGATCACCTCTATGCCCGTTGGTAAATATATGTTTGTGTGTGTGTTTCTTTTTTTTGAGGGAACAAGGATCACCTGTGTGCCCACTGGTAAATATATTTGTGTGTGAGTTTTTTGTTTTGTTTTGTTTTTGTTGTTGTTGTTGTTTGTTTGTTTTTTTAGATGAAGTCTGACTCTTATTGCCCAGGCTGGAGTGCAGTGGTGTAGCGCGATCTTGGCTCACTGCAACCTCTGCCTCCCAGGTTCAAGTGCTTCTCCTGCCTCACCTCCCGAGTAGCTGGGATTACAGGTGCCCGCCACCACGCCCAGCTAATTTTTTGTATTTTTAGTAGAGACGGGGTTTCACTATGTTGGCCAGGCTGGTCTCAAACTCCTGACCTCAGGTGATCCACCCTCTTTGGCTTCCCAAAGTGCTGGGATTACAGGCATGAGTGAGCCCGCACCCGGCCTGTATTTTTTTGTTTGTTTGTTTGTTTTCAGTAGAGATGGGGTTTCACCATGTTATCCAGGCTGGTCTTGAACTCCTGACCTCAGGTGATCTGCCCACCTCGGCCTCCCAAAGTGCTGGGATTACAGGGGTGAGCCACCCCGCCCGGCTGTATCTGTGTTTTTATATTGCATGAATGAACATGAAGAGGATAAATCGGCTTTACTGGGGGAAATGAATTTCAGGAGAACGTGAGGAAGCAACAGATGGAGATCACTGGTGGGCGAATTGATCTGGTGAGAAATGACAGGTGCTTGGATCAGGTTGATGCAGGAAGTGGAGGTCATGAGGGTTTTGAGATATGTGTGTGATTAGAGTCATCAGAACTTGAAGAACCTCTAGATTCGATTTTCAAAGTGAAAGATCTGCGAATGGACTCATCTTTTTTTTTTTTTTCAAGATGGACTCTTGCTCTGTTGCCCAGGCTGGAGTGCCACGGCGCGATGTCGGCTCACTGCGAACTCCGCCTCCCTGGTTCAAGCGATTCTCCTGCCTCAGCCTCCCGAGTAGCTGGGACTACAGGCGCCCACCACCACGCCCGGCTAAATTTTTGTATTTTTAGTAGAGACGGGGTTTCACCGTGTTAGCCAGGATGGTCTCGATCTCCTGACCTCGTGATCCGCCCGCCTCGGCCTCCCAAAGTGCTGGGATTACAGGCGTGAGCCACCGTACCTGACCCCAACTTTTTTTTTTAATCAAGTGAGTGAGAAGAGGATTCATCTTTTCTTCAAGCCTCAGAAGTCCAGGTGATGATTCTGGTTAGAAAGAGCTGTCCGTGGTCGGGTGCGGTGGCTCACGCCTGTAATCCCAGCACTTGGGGAGGCCGAGGCAGGTGGATCATGAGGTCAGGAGTTCAAGACCAGCCTGGCCAAGAAGGTGAAACCCCGTCTCTCCTAAAAATATGAAAAGTAGCCAGGCGTGGTGGCGGGCACCTGTAATCCCAGCTTCTGGGGAGGCTGAGGGAGATAATTGCTTGAGCTCAGGAAGCGGAGTTTGCAGTGAGCCGAGATCGCGCCACTGCATTCCAACCTGGGTGACAGAGCGAGACTCTGTCTCAAAAAAAAAAAAAAGAAAGAAAGAAAAAAAAAAAGAAAGAAAGAGCTGTCCGGAGTTAAATTCAGACCAGAGGCTGGGCGCGGTGTCTCGTGCCTGTAATCCCAGCAACTTGGGAGGCCGAGGCGGGCGGATCACAAGGTCAGGGGATCGAGACCATCCTGGCTAACACAGGGAAACCCCGTCTCTACTAAAAATACAAAAAATTAGCCGGGCGTGGTGGCTGGTGCCTGTAGTCCCAGCTACTCGGGAGGCTGAGGTAGGAGAATGGCATGAACCCAGGAGGCAGAGCTTGCAGTGAGCCGAGATCGCGCCACTGCACTCCAGCCTGGGCGACAGAGCAAGACCCCGTCTCAAAAACAAACAAACAAACAAAAAAAAACCCAAAAAAACACACAAAAACAAATCCAGACCAGCAGTGATTTTCCCTAAAATGAGAATCCTGAGATAGGAGCTTCCGTACTCATCACAATTGGAGTCAACTTTCACGCAGACCTCAAGGTGTCCAAGTACTTTCCATATAAGTGTTGCTGCTAAAAATAAAATAATAATAATACAAACTCCAGGCCTCTTGGATTCTAAAAATGGGAGTTGTGTATCTCTTTTTTCTCCAAATTTAGCCTGGCCTCTCATGCTTGAGTTGTCTACAGCAGCTTCCATGAGTTCCCAGTGTGGTTGAAATCATAAATATGCCTTCTCTTTCATTTCCCTTTTTCACATCCCCACACCCACGTGGTGGTTCAGCTGGGGAGCTATATTTCCTTGGGGAGGAAAGTAGCACAGTGGGTGTCATACCCAGGGGAGATTAACTTTCGGGTCCTGTAGTTGCCCCTACCAGGGTGAGAACCTGGTGCTCATAGAAACCTGCTCAGAAAATCGCTTTCTTGCTTTTGTTCCTTCCTCCACACAATGGCCACAGTTACTGGTGGAGACAAAATGTCTGGAGTGGACTGGAGTCCAAGAAAAGGTACATCGGGCATTTCCTCGCCTAGGAAGTCACTGGCACAGAAGTTCAGAAATGAGCGAGATTTTGAAAACAAGAATAGGCCGGGTGCGGTGTCTCACGCCTGGAATCCCAGCACTTTGGGAGGCCGAGGCAGGCACATCCTCTGAGGTCAGGAGTTCAAGACCAGCCTGGTCAACATGGGAAAACCCTGTCTCTACCAAAAATAAAAAAAAATTAGCCGGGCGTGATGGTGCAGGGCTGTAATCCCAGCTACTCTAGAGGCTGAGATGGCAGATCTCTTGAACCCTGGAGGTGGAGGCTGCAGTGAGCCGAGATCGCGCCACTGCACTCCAGCCTGGTAGACAGAGCAAGACTCCGTCTCAAATAAATAAATAAATAATTAAAAAATTAAAACATAAAAAAATAAAAATTTTCTCGGGGAGCTGACTATGAGAAGGCAGAAATATGTTAATATCTCCAGGTGTCTGTCTGGGGTGTGGTGGGTGGGAAAAAGGCGGAAGTGGTTTCCTGTAATGAATTTGCTCTGTAGGAAGGAGCCATGTTTTTTGGCGCTGGGGATGTTAACTTAGTCCTGGTCATCAACAACATGAACATCAGGCAGAGATACTTGTGTCTTACTTGGAGGAAGATTCAGACCCGGAGAAGGATTTTGATCAGGGAAGAGTCAGCTACAGATAAGGTTGGGGCTATGAGAATAATAGATGTCAGCCTGGAGTGAGGGTTTGGAGAAGAGGACCAGGAGGAGGCTGATGTGGTGGCACAGACAGGCTGTCTTCAGTCTCCAGTGAGCTTGCACTGTGGGAATGGACCCGGGGACGTGGGTGAGGAGGGCTCAAGGGTACAACTGCTTGGATTTGTTCACTGTATGTGAAACAAAAGTGAGTGAGCAACTAGGGTCTGTTTCACTCTCTGCCTTAGTTTACTGGAGGAACGAATGGTGTCATCCCAGGATGAATGATCCCGGGGAAGAACCAGGCTAGGGAGATATTTATAAGGCTGTTCACGGAGTGCAGAGGAAGCACTATCTCCCTCCTGGCCCTGCTGTCTAGTTTTGTTTCTCCCAAGCACTTCTTCCCTCCGACTTTCTTAATTCTATAAGTAGCAGCACCAGAACGCGATCATGTCTGTTGCAGAGATGTGAATGGAGCTGGAGGTCATTATCCTTAGTAAACAAACACAGGAACAGAAAACCAAATACCACATGTTCTCACTTATAAGTGGGAACTCCATCAAATCTCCAAGTCATTTACAACCTCTTCTTCCCCTGTCCATAACTCTTCATTTGATACCGTGAATTCTGTCTCCATGCTTTGGGCCAAAGCATTCACTGGAAGAAATTCCCAAGCTTTGGTTTAAGGCATGAGGGTTCATACTTACTGTCAGTTGACCTTCAGCAGGTGACATCCTCCCCTGCCCCATCCATTTTCCTCGTTGTAGGAAGATGGTAATTAACCCTCCCGTCAAGTTTTTTTGTTTTGTTTTTTGTTTTTTTTTTTCCTGACAGCGTCTCATGCTGTCACCCAGGCTGGAGTGCAATGGCACGATCTCTGCTCACTGCAACCTTGACTTCCTGGGTTCAAGCGATTCTCCTGCCTCAGCCTCCTGGGTAGCTGGGATTACAGGCATGCACCACTGCCAAGCGTGTCCATGTGAAGAGACCAGCAAACAGGCTTTGTATGAGCAATAAAGCTTTTAATTCACCTGGGTGCAGGTGGACTGAGTCTGAGAAAGGAGTCAGCGAAGGGAGATGGGGAAGGGGTTGCTTTATAGGAGTTGGGTAGGTGAGGAAAATTACGGTAAAAGGTGGTCATCTATTGTTGGCAGAGGAGGAGGTCACAAGGTACCTGGTGGGGACATCATAAGACTTATTATCCAGAAGAAGAATGTCACAAAGTTGATTGATCGGTTAAGGTGGGGCAGGGACAAGTCACAGTGGTGGAACGTCGTAATGTTGGTTAATCAGTTAAGGCAGGAACTGGCTGTTTTACTTCTTTTGTGGTTTTTCGGCTGCCCCAGACTTCTTGGCTCCTTCAGGCCATCTGGGTGTATATGTGCAGGTCACAGGGATTACAATAGCTGAGCTTCAGCTCAGAGGCCTGACAACCACCACACTGGCCAATTTTTTTTTTTTTTAATTTTTAGTAGAGACGGTTTCACCATGTTGGCCAGGCTGGTCTTGGACTCCTGACTTCAGGTGATCTGCTCGCCTTGGCCTCCCAAAGTGCTGGGATTACAGGCGTGAGCCACCATGCCTGACCTAAACCTTTAAAAGTGGATACTTGTGTGAGAGAGAGAAACCATGCAGAAGAGATTAAATAAAATTAGACGGATATAATTGTGTCTTGTTTCTTGTTTTGGTTTAGAAATATAAGTGTATTTTCTTGAATAGATATGATGCAAAAATATTTTTAAATATAACTCATAAACTTAAAGATAAAACCTAAAGAAAAAGAAAATGCGGTAAAACAGGTGGGAGGGGAAGCAGGAAAGGCAGGCACACTCGTGTAACTGTGATTGAAAGAAAATCTGTATACAAGTGGACCTGCACAGTTCAAACCTGTGGAGTTCAAAGCTCAACTGTATGTTACTGCAAATGATTATAAGTGCTGTTATAGAAACATTCAAAGACCAGAAAAGGACCACAATGGCTGACCACACATAGCCAGGAAGAGCTTCTCCCACCGAGAGACCAAGCCATCAAGAAGACCAGAATGCTCTGGGCAGATCTTCTGAAAGAGGGCGCTGAGGGTGGATGGAGAGAGGACACAGATCCTGAGGATGGATGGAGGGAGGACACAGATCCTGAGGATGCATGGAGGGAGGACACAGATCCTGAGGATGGATGGAGGGAGGACGCAGATCCTGAGGATGGATGGAGGGAGGACGCAGATCCTGAGGGTGAATGGATGGAGGACGCAGATCCTGAGGGTGGACGGATGGAGGGAGGACGCAGATCCTGAGGATGGATGGAGGGAGGACGCAGATCCTGAGGATGGATGGAGGGAGGACACAGATCCTGAGGATGCATGGAGGGAGGACACCACGCCCAGCTAATTTTTGTCTTTTTAATAGAGATGGGGTTTCACCATGTTGGCCAGGCTGGTCTCAAACTCCTGACCTCGTGATCCGCCCGCCTCAGTCTCCCAAAGTGCTGGGATTACAGGCGTGAGCCACCGCGCCTGGCCGGCTTTCTTAGTCATGTTTAATTTAACGAAAATTTTATAATGATCTGAAATGTAAATGGTTTTTAAAGAATTCAAATTAGGATGCATCAAAAATAGGACTGTCTTTATTGTTGAAAAACATTGTATTTCTTTAATAATGAACAACTTATTAAGTTATGATGTGATTTAACTGGTATGAAAATTTGGGAAATTAGAATCTTGGTAAAGTACAGATTAGTTAAAAGAAAAAGATGCTTTAGAAAAATCAAAGACATTTCCGAAAGAATGTACAATAATCAATAGCAGTTTGGCCCCAGTGTTATAGAGGATGGGGAGAAGGTGGAAGAATGAGAAAATAACACGCATTTCACGTAGTATATGTGCACAAATCTTTTTCTTTTGTTGCGAAGAAAATGTTTTATCACAACAAATGTAATAAATTTAGCAACTTTGTTCTGGAGATCAATCAATAAATCCAAATAGGAGAAGGAGGAGGGGTCTGTAAAAGCAGAAAGCAATTTCAGAAATGAATATATATAGTGTACTAAATAAATTGAGCTGGATGGTAAATAAAGGCAACAAGAAAATATCTGTGAATCCTAGACCAGCTGTGATGATGGCTCTGTATGCCCTTAAATAACGGCAATAATTCATGAAAAAATAAAGACCTTGTCCTTTCTTTATCAAAGTGATTTATTATTTATTTATTTATTTATTTTTTAGAGACAGAGTCTCGCTCTGTCACACCCAGGCTGGAGTGCAGTGGCTCGATCTCAGCTCACTGCAAGCTCCGCTTCCTGGGTTCACGCCATTCTCCTGCCTCAGCCTCCCGAGTAGCTGGGACTACAGGCACCTGCCACCACGCCCGGCTAATTTTTTTGTATTCTTAGTATAGACGGGGTTTCACCGTGTTAGCCAGGATGGTCTCGATCTCCTGACCTCGTGATCCGCCCGCCTCAGCCTGCCAAAGTGCTGGGATTACAGGCGTGAGCCACTGCGCCCGGCCCAAAGTGATTTTTATGGAGGTACAATTTAGGACTAAATGAGGCACATTTTACTTCTTGGAACGGCAACAGGAAAATTCCCATCCCGCAGCTCTCACAACTCAGATCTTAGCAATTGGAACAGAACAGGTTGTCACTGCTGAAGGACCAAGCAGAACAACGGTTTCAGGAAGCTTTAGCTCTAAATCCCAGTAGATGTAGAGCAGGTGCAGAGCTCTGGGGACTCTCAAAGCACTTTTAAATCTGGTTAAGTGTCAGAATTGCATTTAGACATCAACACATTTATATTCCTTGATTCTTTCTTCTCCCTAAGACTTAAACATATAGTCACCTTTTATCAAAAAGATATTTTATTTGTTTAAATGGAAGATATAGTTTACTTTCTTCACACAGATGCCAGAAATTTTCTATGAACGTAAAATCTTTGGTGCAATCAAGTGCATACTGCTTCCCAGATCCTACAAGAAAGGAGATTAAGGTGTAGAATTTTACACTCATCACAGAAAGTTTTCAGAGACTAACTGGCATCACCAACCAAAACACAACATGCTATCACCACAACTATTTTTAAATGTCTTAAGTAGTAGTTTCCATTGGACGGCAGGTGTGTAAGCAGGAGCCAAGAGTGAAACACGCTCTTGCTCCTCTTCCTAGCAAGAGAGCAAAGACTGTGAGGTTTGGTGTATTCATCCAGAGAGAGTGTTTTAAATGGGGCTATGACAGAGAAGGTAGACAAGAGGTGTTGGGCAGCCCTGGACACCCTCAGAAAATATCCCTTCTTCATGAATTTATTTTCTATGTTCAGTTTTACACTAAAAGGTAAAAAAAAAGTTAAAAAAAAGAAAAAAAAAGTCCACCCTATAGTTTGTATAACAAACATTCTCACTTGTTCATGCTGTATTCAACGTCGAGCCCATTTTCTTTCCCCTACTACAAAATCCCACCGCTGGGGTCCTGGTACCTACAGTGATGGTTCTGAATAAAGCCCTCCTTACTCTGCTTTGATAAAGGTCACCGGGTAATCTTTCTCTCAACGCCTTGCCCAGCTGGCCCAGGGCTCCAAGAAAGGGAAGGCCAGACCCCTGGCCTCTGCCCTGGTTACTCACAGGGACATCTGTGAATATCTGCTGCTGCCCCATCTGGCCCCGGTGAGGCTGCTCCTCCCTTTCACGTTGGGCCCCACTGCAGCCTCCTGGTGTTCACCGCCAGGGCACACCCCAGGGGAACTGGGGTGGGATCATAAGCACAGGGTAGGCCCTCCCTCTCTGCCTGGCCACACTGCACTGCCAGGTGAATTAAACATGGCTCTTCCCCCAGGTGGTGCTTGGGGGCC
This sequence comes from Homo sapiens, assembly GCF_000001405.40. Classification (NCBI taxonomy): domain Eukaryota; kingdom Metazoa; phylum Chordata; class Mammalia; order Primates; family Hominidae; genus Homo; species Homo sapiens. The sequence continues at coordinate 333,789 of NW_003571055.2, forward strand.
CGTGCAGCAGGAGGGACATCTTCTCCGCACAGCAATGTTCCCAGATCTCACCACCCTGAGTTCTGGCCCCTGCGTTGGGCGGGTTGGCAAGTCAAGAGAAAAAACAAGCCCCTGCATCTAATTTTCTGTCTTCTCTCTGGGCCCTTCCTCTTTCCACTAATATGTCAAGAAACAACAGTGTGGTATTTTTGCTTAATTTCCCCTAAACTCTATCTGTCCTGCTTTCCACTGTGACCTCACCACCTGAACTTCCTGGACTTCCTTACACTGGAGCAGACACTGGCATCTGCTCAGCTCTCCTGTGCTCTGCAAGGGGTAGAAAAATTCACCCATCCTCTGCTATGTGCAGACTGTCCACCTTCTGCTATAGAGTTCATGTACCCACCTGTCAACCTCATAGTCAAACAAACAAGACGTTATGGGGGAAAACACCCGGCTGATGGTTGAAAAACAACCAGAGAAGAAAGACAGAGATGTAGAAAAAGAGACAAAGACGGCTGGACGCAGTGGCTCACGCCTGTAATCCCAGGACTTTGGGAGGCTGAGGTGGGCAGATCACCTGAGGTCGGGAGTTCAAAACCAGCCTAAGCAACATGGAGAGCCCCCCGTCTCTAACAAAAATACAAAAAATTAGCCGTGTGTGGTGGTGCATGCCTGTAATCCCAGCTGCTCAGGAGGCTGAGGCAGGAGAATCGCTTGAACCCGGGAGGCAGAGGTTGCAGTGAGCCAAGATTGCGCCATTGCACTCCAGCCTGGGCAACAAGAGCGAAACTCCATCTCAAAGAAAAAAAAAAGAGAGAGAGAGACAGAGAGACACACAGTGAGAGAGAAAGACAGAAAGAGAGACAGGGACAGAGACAGACAGAGCAGGGAGAATGTGTCCCACGTGAAGAACAGGGAAAATCGGTCACAATGTTCACACAAGAAAGCAAAGATACAGAGTACAGCACTGGGAAGCAGATCCCAGGAGGAAATTAAACCTGAGCACAAATAGAAAATTAAAGCTCAGTACAAATTAAAATTGGGTAGGCCAGTCAGGTACCACCCTCTTTGAACCAGCACAGAAACCTCCCAGCAGACCGAGCTGCAGCCCATCCCGGGGTTCATAATGTGGAGTCAGGAGCCTCAGGTGGGTCTGAAGCCCCTGTCTCTGAGACTTGGCCGACCTTGGACAGGTTACTTCATGTCTCGGTCCATAGTTTCTGTTTTTATAAATGAGGAAAATAATAGAGCACGCTGTGGAGGGTTTGTAGGAGAATTTAATGTGTCCACGTTTGCCTAGAACTAAATTAGCAACTGCCCCATAGAAAGAGCTGGCTGAGTTTTTGCTGAATTCTTAAAAATCTTTCTTTTCTTTTCTTTTTTTTTTTGACGGAGTCTCGCTCTGTCGCCCAGGCTGGAGTGCAGTGGCACCACCTCGGCTCACTGCAAGCTCCGCCTCCCGGGTTCACGCCATTCTCCTGCCTCAGCCTCCCGAGTAGCTGGGACTACAGGTGCCCGCCACCACGCCCAGCTAATTTTTTTGTATTTTTAGTAGAGATGGGGTTTCACCGTGTTAGCCAGGATGGTCTCGATCTCCTGACCTCGTGATCCGCCCACCTCAGCCTCCCAAAGTGCTGGGATTACAGGCGTGAGCCACCGCGCCCGGCCTGTTTTTGTTTTTTAAAGACAAACACAGATTAACCCAAATGAGATTCTGCCGCCTCCTAGTGGTACATAGGGTAATTTTCTGTGTCAATCAGTACATCTGACCCTACAGGTAGGGTGGATACTCAGAAATGCCTCAACCAACAGCAGGCTCAGTGATTCCTTGGATTTCCTGGGGCGTGTGAGTGTATGTGCATGTCTGTGTGTGTGCGTGTGTGTATGCATGTGTGTGAGAGCATGCATTCCTGTGCATGTATGTGCAGATGTGGACCTGTAGGGTCGGCTCTCTGCCTTCACCCAGCCACACCTCCCTCATTCATTCCTGATACACGTGATTTGTCAGAAAACACTGACACCAATGTGAAGTCCTAAGATGAGCAAGTTCAGAATATCTAATGTATCGTATTCGTGGTGATGGGTGCGCTGAGGAATTGATTGTGACTGTCATTGCACAATGTACGTGTACGACAAATTATCACATTTTACACCTTGAATACGTACAATCCTGATCAATTAAATTTTAAAAAGAAAACGCTGACACGTTTTCGTAGGTCCTGTTTCCCTCACTCAGCTTTGAACAACTGTGAAGGCAGAGAGTGGGTCCGAGAGACCTATGCACCCAGGACCAGGCCTGGGGCTGCCAGATGTGAGGCCTTCAAAATTATTTATTGATGCGTGGAGTAAAGCACAACCCAGAGAACTGGGCTTGGCTCTCAGCTGTGTGTGTATAGCACAGTCTCAAGGCTAGCTCTTGACTTCTAGGAAGGTCTTTAGGGTCAGCAGGGCAGATAATTACAGCAAAGTCTCTGGGGTCACTGGAGGTTCACAGCAGACACCTAGGACAAGCTTGGAGGTGGCATCACTGCTCAGGAAATCGGCTGATTGGCTGTAGCTGGGCCTTTAGAACAGGCAGGTGACTTTAGCTGGGTCTCTGGAAACAGTCAGGTGAATAAAGCTGGGTCTCTAGAAACAGCCAGGGAACTGTAGCTGGGTCTCTGGAAATAACTGAGAAACAGTCTGTCCAAGGAGCTGCTCGATTGTAGAAGGGACCACCTGGCTAACGAACCTTCTGGATGCTGGTTAGAAACCTCCAGTCTCCAGCTCTTGTCTCCAGGACAGCTGCCTGGCTGGCTTTCTAGATGAAGAGGAATCCAACAGGAAGCCTTCCAAATGGCTGCTTCAGGCTTTTCCTAGAGTGACTTTCTACCCTCAGGTGCAGAGGCCAGGTGGGTATGGGGTCAGTGTCTGGCAACGGCTGCATACGTGATGGACTCGGCCATGGGCTTTGTGGACTGTGGGGACACAGCCCGGGCTGTCCTCTGTGTGAGGGCCCAGTGGTCCAGCTGAGCATACGTCACCTCCTGGGAACTCCCTGCAGCCAGGGCCTAAGAGGGAGAGACCCAGGGTGAGGGAGTGCCTGGTGGAGGGTGAGGCGAGGGGCTGTGGGGAGGGAGGGCTGTGGCGGCCATCTCCATGGGCCCTGAGGACCCTCTCCTAAATTGCATCCGTGTGAAGAGCCCTCCCACAGGGTATTGGGGTTGGTTTACGTGACAATGAACAAGGCAGAAGGGAAGACTCCTGACTTCCAAGCTGAGCCAAAAGACATGGTGCTTCTGTCCCCTCCCTGCCACCCATCCTTGGATCCCTCCCTCTGGGGGAAGCCGGCTGTGTGGAGAGGCCCCTGTGAGAGGAACAGAGGTTTCCTGCCCACAGCCGGGGAAGTGAGCGTCTTGGACGTGGATCCTCCAGCCCACGGGAGCCTTCGGATGCACACAGCCCTGGGCGACCTCTCGACAGCAACCTCAGGACAGGCCGTGAGCCGGAACCGCCCAGCTGAGCCACTCCTGAATTCCTAACCCAAGGAACTGAGATTTTTTTAAGCTGCTAAATTTGGGGTACTTTAATAACTAGTAGGAAGGCTCACCGAGGTGTCTGTCTCTCTGTCCTTCTCAGGAAGTCCATTGACTGTGGCCTTGTCTTGGGGAGAAAATACATGGTCAGTTTTCTGGGGAGGATGTCGCAAGGCAAATCTGCCTGAGACCCCCACCCCCAGCTTCCGATGACATCCTGCACCCAATGTATAATACGACCTTCTAGAATGTTCCCAAAGATTCTTCCCCCCACCCCCCACATTGCATCTGGATTGGCACCAAGTCCCCACTTCCCCATCCCAGGCCTGTCCCTCCTCCTCCCCCTTTACCTGCTGTCCTCTCTAGAACATCAACAGCCAGGTCAGGCCTAAGAGGAAAAATAAAAGTGAACCTCAGGGGCAGCCTGGCGGCCGAGGACTGGGTGGAGGTCCAGGAGTCATTCCCAGGGGCCTCACCTCTGCTGTGGCTTCTGCTCCTCGTCCTTGCTTCTGGGGGGCCCTAAGGACAGTCGGGGTGTGAATTAAGGAGACCTTCTTCCTAGCCTCTCCTGACAGCTTCCCAGGTCACCCCACCCTGCCCCTGAGACCTACCCTGCTTTATCTGATTCTGGCGATGGAGGCAGAAGAGGACCAGGAGGAGGAGACAGAAGAGGAAGACCACTGAGACCCCGATGAGAATATACAGATGCTCAGCTTTCAGGCCTTGGGAAGCAGGTGCATCTAAGAAAGACAGAAACAGGATTTCAGCAGTGTGCATTTATTGAGCACCTACTGTATACCACACACACGTCACGTGCGTTTCATAGACTTACTAATATATAAAATATCTTAGGTAAATAATAGTCCTGCAGTACAGGGATCGTTATCCCCTTCTTCCACCACCGGGGTCCTGAGTGCTGGAGTCCTCTGCACAGGGACACAGACTGCCATTGGCAGAGCAGGAATCTGATCAACCCCAAAGCCTGACCTCTTTCTCCTTCCCCAAGAGGCACACACCAGCTTCATGCTCCACGGCCCCCATCACTCACGCTCATTGTGACTGTTGTCCGACGGCCTCTGCGTGGGTCCTGGGAGGGAGGAATCAGAAGGAGGAGGAGTTAGAGTCCTGAGCTGGACAGAGAAGGCTCTGAGTCCTCCCACATCCACTGTGGGGATCTCCCTTCACTCCCCAGGACCCTGACTGCTCCCTCTAGACCAGCACCGACCAGCAGAGTCTTCTGTGATGATGGAAACTTTCTACATCTACTGTCCAGCATGAGAGTCACACATAGCTATTGATATTTAAATTTATCCAAAGTTGAATGGCATGAGAAGCTGGCTGCACCGTCTGCACCTCCAGGACTCAGTGACCCCACGGGCCTGATGCCATCCCTACTGGACGGTGCAGATACAGCGCGTTTCCTGGGCGTGAAGCTGTAGTAGACATCGCTAATTTCTGCCCTCTGCGGATCTAGGCAGAGACCAACCACCCGCAACAAGAGGAAGGGAGACCTTCCCTCCCTGACCTCCTTCTGGGTTCCCACCAGAGGGCAAGAATCCTCATGTCTGATTTTATCTGCCCTCGCGGCAACCCTCTGACGGGGATGTAACCCGCCCTCCTGTGGGAAGAATCCAAGTCCCGATGTGCTCCTCTTTCCTGAAGCCCTGCAGCTAGCGGGCGAGTGTGTGGGGCACCGCCCAGGCTCCCTACGCAGCGCATTGCAGGCCCGCCCGTCATCTCCTCCAACCTTCACCCTCCTCTGCACAGTGCACGCCACTACCCAATTCCCAGGTGGCTAAATGGGGTCCTGAGGGGCTCCCCCAAACCCAGGGTCCGAGCCAAGCGTCCCTCTTCCAGGAACAGCGGTCCCTCCCCTCCCCCGGGGCTGAGGCAGCATCTTCAATATCCTTCAAGAAAGGCAGACATTCTCTCTTGGAATGTCCTTCCCTCCTGCCTCGTCCACGGTCTAAGGTCCAGGACACCACCCGTTATTCTACACCATGACTTCCTGGGCTTGGTCTTCATAACATTTGCCACCATTTAAAATTACATATGTATTATATATGTGCAATATTACAGTTTTTATATTATTTATAGTTATATGTATCATGTATTATGCAAATGTATAATATATAACAAATATATTTTTAATTATGTAATCTTGACATATACATATAATTTAATGTATATAATGTTAATTGTATATGATTTATAACTTATAATATATGTTACATATATTCACTATAATATATAATGTATAATTTATATTTGATATAAACCTATGATTAAATATAAAATATTTTTTCTATTATAGTTATACATAATGTATACATAATAGATAATATATTTACATTAATACCTATATTTATTTATTAACTATAACACTTGAAATTTATTATACTATATATTGTAAATATATCTTTCATATAATATATAATATACACTATAGTCATATGTAGTGATACACTAACATGTTTTATTATATAATTATCTTCCTTATATATATAATATATATATAATATATATATATTATGATGTAAACATATATAATATAATTTAAATTATAGGTCTGAAATTCTACATTGCAAATCATATATTTTTATCTGTATATGCATGTATGGGAATCAGTGCATTTCTATTGCTCATTCTAACTATTTCTCCCCATTGAAGTTCACAAGACGGGAGGCCATTTCTCCTCATTCTTGGTGCATCAAATCCGGAGGCTTCAGTGCCTGGCACAGTCCCTGTGAGGACAAAATACTTCCTCAGTATTAATAGGAGCATCCCTCCTTTGGGGTTTTCTAATCAGCACTGATGTCAGCGCCGTGTGTACCTGAACTCAAGTCTGCCCTAAACGATTCTACCAGGACAGCTCTTCTATTGCCTCTGTTTCACATGAGGAATTTGGGACACAGGAGGTTTGGGTGAGTCACCGTCAGGCATAGAGCCAGGAGGTGGCAGAACCACCGGGATTTGAACCATGAACCCAGCAATCTGGCTGCAGGAGGGTCTGTCCTCGTGACCTTTATATGTCACTGCATGAAGGTGAGAGAAGAGAGAAGGAAGGAGAAGAAGAGAGGGAGAGAAACAGAGGCAAGATATTCCCGCAGACAGAAGGCTAATAAAAACCAGACACTGGACTTGAACCAGGTCTGCGGGACTCAGGAGCATGTCCCGCTGTGCCCCAGCAGCCCAGGAGCCTCTGAGGGGGTCCGGATGGAGCACGGCATCGCTCCTCCCACCTCCCCATGTGGCTTCAGCCCCTGGTCCCACCTGCCTGAGCTCACAGCCCGAGCCTCACAGGCAGTCACCGGGTCTAGGTCCAAGGACGTACTCTGGGGATAGAAACCCAGGTGGGGAAGGGGCCGCGAATGGCTTATGACCCCGTGTCCTCCCCTGGGAGTTTCTGGTCACAGATCACAGGGGGAGATGGACAACTTGAGACCCAGGGACTTGGGGCAGCTTCAATCCCATCACAGAGTCCAGGGCAGAGCCAGATGGAAGGGAAGCCTCATGGCTTCATCCTGGTCACCGTTCACAGCTACGTCCCCTCCCTGTGGAGCCCTCCTCCTCTTAAGGGACCTTACTCCACCGTTCAGGCCTCCCCCGGAGATCACAGAGCCAACAGGAGCAGCCCCGTCCCTCTCCGGGTGTCCCAGGTTGGAAGGTGAGTTCTAAGTCCCTCCATCAGGTGCAGAGCGGGGTGAATGGTGAGGCCACGCCCACAAGGGGGCAGCGTGGAGCTCGGGCGAGCCCGGAAGTCTGGGGTGGGGCTGCCCGGGTGGGTGGCCCCTGCCCCTTCATGGCCTTGTGCCGTTAAGCACGAAACTTTAATTTATGTTTTGCATATTAGAGAGGAGGAGGAGTTAGAGGATCAGACTAGTACCTCCCCCATTAAGTGGTGCTTGCATTAAGTGCTTTCCACAGTTCCTGGCATGGAACAAGGTTGCAATCACTGTACCATTGCTGCTATGGTCTCTGTGAGCATTAGCGACCTCCCAGAGCTTGGTGGGTGTCGGTGCCTTCCCGTGGCCTCCCTAGACCTTGACTCCAAGCCCAGGGCAGAGGGCTGGACCCGGAACAGCATCCGCAGCACAGATTCCCCTGTAATCCCCTCCAGCTGAGGGCCCTGCTACTGACCAGCTGAGGAGCCGGGCTCTGTGTCCGGGGAGTCCCGGCCTCCAGAGGTTTCTGTAAACAGGGGCAGGAGAAGGATTTAGAACCCGTCCCAACCAACCTGCCCTCCTCCACCCTGAGCCCCCATCCAAAGGCCGCATGACCATCACGCAATCCCAGACAATGTCTCGAGACTCCTGAGAAAACGAGGCAGGGGACAGGAGGCTGGGGAGAGCCCCGCTGCTTGCCCCATTCTCCCTGGGGCTGGTCACTCCCTCTGCTCCTCCCACCACAAGCTCTTCTTGACCTCAGGGGACCTTTGAGGTCCTGGGGGGACATGAAGGTGGATTGGAGCCTCTCCAGTGGACTTTGACTCCAGGACATCTCGGGCTGAGCACACACAGGGGTGCATGTGGTCACATACCAAAGGTTTTCCCAAAGCACTGTCCCGCCCTGGTCAGGGGCCATCCCTGGACCCTGCGTTCTGCCCAGTGGGAGATGAACCACTCCAGGAGAAGCACATTGCCTGGGGCAGGTTCTGGCTCAGTGGAAAGGAATAAGCGGGACCATCCATCCCGTGTGAAAAGACACTCATCCTCTTGTAGGGGGGTTGCCCCCTAATCTCTGGGAACCCACTCCCCACCCAGCCAAGCAGAGCCAGCTCTGAGCCCACCAGATGCTGGAGCTGAGTGTCCACGCCATCCGTGGCGTCCAGAGGAGATCAGGGCTCCAGGGACCTAAGCGGGTATGAGGCAGAGGGGAGGTGTGTGCAGACGGAGAGGGGAAGGGGAGGGCTTGGCGGTCAGGAGGAGGACAAGGTTGGCCACAGAGGACAGCAGCTGGGACAGGGTCCAGGGACCTGGGGACAAGCTCGAGGGTCGAGCTGAGACTGGGGCAGGGCCCAGGTGACGTCCTCACCTTTCACCAGCAGCTCCAGGTAGTCACTCTGCTCAGACCATTTAGGGGGCTTATAATAGATGCAGCGATAAGGCCCGGCATTTCCTTCACTTACTGAGTCAATGCGGAATCTGGCCTCTGACTCAGATGGACTAGCTTGAGACACATCTTCAGTATCATTGTATGTGGATCTACTCTCCCTCTCCAGGCGGAATGTTTGAACCCCAACCGGGCCCCGGCACACGAAAGTCACATGGCTCCCCAGGGGGATCACGGTGCCTGGCTCAGCCGAGATGGAGGGTCTGGGCAGATCTTCTAGGAGGGAAGCAGAGCAGGATCTCAGCGTCCACTGTAGGAAGTCACCATGCCACACACGTCATTTTAGCATCACAATTCAGGGATTTTAGCAATTTTATAGAGTTATGCAGCCATGACCACAGCCCAACCTTAGAACATTCCCAAGCCTCCTGCACCTTCTACGTGCATGTGATTCTCATCACTGCAGAGTTTTTTCCCAGTTGACAGTGAGGACCCTGAGACTTGCTCACAACTTGGGCCTTGCTCAGGGTCACGTGGGAAGTGTCGGAGCAGGCTGGGGCCCTTCATGCCTGCTGCAGAGCCCAGGGCCACTTTCCAGAGGGACAGAGTGTGGGAGGGAGGCACAGGATGGGGATGACAGGGTCATTGGTGAAGGACAAGGGACAGAGAAGCGAGGGCTCTGGAGATGGCTTGTGCTGGGGCCTGAAGGGCACTGGCCGGTCCCCGGGTGGGACTGAGTGTGGGATGGGGGTTGCCAGGCTCCTTTGAGGGTCTGGTGGGGTGAGGGTGAAGCCCCCAGCCCTGATCTGCTCACAGCAGATGCCCAGCCCGTGACAGGTCCCCATTGCTAATGCAGATCTCTGTGGAGACACCACCTCTGGGTTTTCCTCTATAGTTTCTACTTTCTTCTCAGCCTAATTTGCATTTCCTTCTTATTAAGGCTCTTGAAAAACCCCATTTATCTCAACTGGGCTTGGGGTGGAGGAGGAAGGGCGGGTTTGATGCCCTGAAACAGGAAGGTTGTGTCAAAATTAGCAAAATCCCTGAGCGGGGCAGAGAGCTGGCAGGGCTTCAATTCACTCGTCCCGTCTTCATTCATTCCTTATTATTGACAAATTAAAACTGCATGTATTTAAGGTGTACAACATGATGTTTTGATACAGGTATACACTGTGGAATCGCTGAATCAAGCTAATTAATATAACCTCACTTTGCGTAGTTAATTGTTGTGGTGAGAACATTTAAAATCTGCCCTCTTAGTGATTTTCAAGCATATGATACATTGTGATTAACTGTAGTCATTGTGTTGCACAATCCTGAACTTACTCTTCCTGTCTAGACGAAATTTTCTATCCTTTGACCAGCATCTCCCCAAACCCACCCATTTGTTCATTTTTCTTTCTTTTAACCATATCTCAGTTACTTATCAATCTGTTTAAAGACGTTTTTCATGGGCTGCTAATTCCACAAATGTGAGAAACACACACAGGATGCCTGCCGTTTGGAGGTGGACTTCCAGAAGGGAGGACCGGTATTGATCAAAGAATTGTCCAAATCTGCAGCTGTGAACTGACAGAGTCTTGCTCTGTCACCCAGGATGGAGTGCAGTGGCGCGATCTCAGCTCACTGCAACCTCCGCCTCCAAGGTTCAAGCAATTCTCCTGCCTCAGCCTCCTGAGTAGCTGGGATTACAGGTGCACTCCACCACGCCCAGCTAATTTTTGTATTTTTAGTAGAGACGGGGTTTCCCCCATGTTGTCCAGGCTGGTCTCAAACTTCTGACCTCAAGTGATCCACCCACCTCTGCCTCCCAAAGTGCTGGGATTACAGATGTGAGCCACCGCACCCAGCCTCATTGGTCATTTTTAAAATGAATTATTTTTTTTCAAAATCAGCATGTGAGAAGAACCACCATATTGAGCGGCATATGGAGTGTTTGAGAAAGCGAAAGAACCTGGAGGAATGTAGAGATGAGTGAGCCCCAGGTCACAGGGACAGGATGTGGCTGGGAAAATGGGCATGTCCAGACCAAAGAGAGGTGCACAGGTCTGATTCTATCTGAAGATAAACAGGGGAAGGGCTCTGAGAAAAAAAAAAAAAGATTTCATCTTACGATGAGATATTAAATGAAAATTTTTGAATACAATTTAAAAACTGTGGAAAGTACAATGGTCATGGTTGTGCTTTTGCAAATCGCCAGTCCCTGGGGTCAGGAAGGGAGCAGGCAGCAGTGGCATGGACAGGCTGAGGCCGGCCTCGGGGAGCCACGGAGGGGAGAGGGGCTGTCACCTGGGGGTGATGCAGGAAAAGTCGATGAAGAGAGAGGGAAAGATGAGAAAAATTTAGAGTGAAATCACCAGGACTGGGTGACATGGTGCATCCAGGAGGATGGAGAAGAGGATGAGTGTTCAGAGTCTGCCCTTTGTGACTGTCACGTTCCCCGCCAAGAAGCTGCCGAGTGAAGTGTGGGCTCGTCTGGGGAAAAGTGCCGGGCTCAGCCTTGGTTGTGTTGGGTTTGAATTCTCATTGTGGAAATCGGTGTGCGGAGCTGACCCCTGCACTCCCAGGGTGACCGCAGCGCTACTCACAGCCGCCAAGACCTGGCAAGAACCTGAGTGCCCACCACCAAATGAATGGATGAGGAGAATGTGCTGTGTATATGCAATGGAATATTATTCAGCCCTAAAAAAGGAAGGACATTCTGTCATTCGCAACAACATGGATGAACCAGAGGACGTTAGGCTAAGTGAAATAAGCCGGGCACAGAAAGACAATTACTGCGCGTTCTCACTTATCTGTGGAATCTAAGAAAAGTTGATCACCCGGAAGCAGAGTAGAATGGTGGTTATTGGAGGCTGCAGGTGCGGGGCATGGGAGAGACACTGATCAAATGATACAAAGTTTCGAGTAGCCAGGACGAGTGAATTTTTCAGATCTATGGCACAGCAGAATGACAGTAGTTCATAATAATTTATTGTATATTTCAAAATTGCTAAAAGGAGATTTAAAATATTCTCATCACAATAAGTATGTGATGGGGCTGATATGTTAATCAGCTTTATTTAATCTTTCCACAATGTGTACATACGTCATAATATCACACTGTACCCCGCAAATTGCAATTATTTGTCAATTAAAAATAAAATTTTTGAAAATAAGAAAAGCAAAATAAGACAGGTGGAGGATGCGAGAGAGAACTGGGTGAGGGTTGGTTATGCATTTTACATTTGGAAGAGTTTGCAATCTAGGGTATATTTAAAGGGATCTCTCCAGGCCCTCTAAGAATCAACATCACTCCCACCCAGCACTGCCCTTGGGGTGACAGAGGGGACTGGGAAGACGGGACGAAGGCATGACTTACCCTCCTGCGTGTGGATGGTCTGGGCCAGGCAGAGCACTGGAAGAGAAGCCCCAGTGAGAAAAATGCCCAGTGCCCAGTCTCCTTACGGGGCTGCTGTCAAAAGGGGGCTCGATGGAGCTGGGGGGCATTCAGCATTTCATAACGACCAAGCCAACCCTCCTCGACATCACTGTCTCCATGTAATCCTTCTTGCTGCAAAATGGTTTCAAGATAAATCCCAAAGTCTCCTCCTCCAAAAAGGCTCCTGCTCCCCCAGCCCTTCTTAAAGCTGACCTCATCCCCACACCCGGGCCCCTGTTTTTAGGACAAGATCTTCTCTGATCAGACTTAGGCCCCAGGGAGAGCAGCAGGGCAGTCTTGGGAGGAGGAGGACACTTTCCTCCCCAGAATCTTCTGGACTAGAGTCAGGCTTGAGCAGGGAATTTTCCAGACCTCCCGACCCCCTTTCCAGCCTCCCGGCTGCCTCCAGGACTCACCTAGGCCCAGGAGGGCGGTGGGGTGGGGAGACATGGCCCAGGTCCCAGCAGTGCAGCCTGGCCTGAGGCGCACCAATGCAAGGACAGAACTCTGCAGCAGACACAAGCAGACAGGATGTGCTGCCCGGGGGCCTCCTGCCTATGGGGCTTCCACAGCAACTGCCTCACACAAGAGGAAGAGCTTTCTGTCCTGTTCTTTCCACCCTTCCCACTAGTGAGACGAGAGGGAGGGCCTTGGTTTCTGAAAAATGTCGCTTACCCTAAATGTCGCTTAGAGGCAGATGACCGTAAACTAGTTACCAGATGTGTCAGCCTCTTTCTAAATCTATGGGACAAGGCAGAATAAAGGTCGGGCAACCAATTGACTTGGACGCCGTCCCAACTCCACAAGTTAACGGTCGCAGCTCTTGGGCAAGACGTTACAAAACTAGAAGCTGACATTTCCTTGTATTACAAATGGGAGCCATAGAAATCCTTCCCCAAGTTTTTAATATTGTGATCTATGCTAAAATCCCGACAAGGTATTTAACACGTTAAAAATATCCTACAAAGCATATTATTTTTTTAAGGAGACAGTATTGGTGAGGATGTGGAGAAACTGGATCCCTCGCATACCACAGTAGGAATTAAAAATTGGGCAATCACTATAGAGAACAGTGGGGAGGTTCCTCAAAAAATTAAAAATAGAGCTACCATATGGTCCAGCAATCCCACTTCTGGGTCTGTATTTAAAAGAAACAGGCCAGGCGCAGTGGCTCACAGCTGTAATCCCAGCACTTCGGGAGGCCAAGGTGGGTGGATCACCTGAGGCCATAAATTCGAGACCAGCCTGGCCAACATAGTGAAACCCTGTCTCTACTAAAAATACAAAAAATTAGCTGGGTGTGGTGGTGGGCACAGCTACTTGGAAGGTTGAGGCAGGAGAATCGCTTGAACCCAGAAGGCAGGGGTTGCAGTGAGCTGAGATTGCACCATTGCCCTCCAGCCTGGGCAACAACAGCAAGACTCTGTCTAAAAAAAAAAAAAAAATCAGTATGTCAAAGAGCCGTCTGAACTCCCCTGATCACTGCAGCACTATTCGCAATAGCTAAGACGTGAAAACCATCTAAATGTCCATTGATAGAAGAATTGATATAGAAAATGTGGTGCACACACAGGGGAATACTATTCAGCCTTAAACAAGGAAGAAAATTCTGCCATGGGCGACAACACGGACGAAACCTGAGGACATCACGCCAAGCGACGCAGAGGCAGAGACCAAGTACTGCATGATGTCACTTACAGGAGATCTGCAAAGTCACCAGAGTCACAACATCACAGCAGGGAATGGTGGTTACGGGGGCTGGGAGGAGGGGGAAATGGGGAGTTATTAACAAACAGGCCTAGAGATCTGCTGCACCACATACGACCCATCGTCAGCAATAACGTCTTGTTCACTTGAAATTTGTTAACGGAATAGACCTCATGTTATTTGGAGGGCCCGGAGGAAGACAGGAAGAGAAGGGAATGTTTGAAACTTCTTAGAGATGGATTAAATGGTTGTGACCAAAATGCTGATAGTGATGTGAACAGCGAAGTCCAGGCTGACAAGGTCTCAGTTGGAAATAAGGATCTTACTTGGAACTAGAGCGAAAGCCACCTTTGTTACGCCTTAGCAAACAACGTGGCTGCATTCTGTCCATGCCCTAGAGATACCACGCCAGGGTGTCTGGCGGAAGAAATTTCTTTTCTTTTTTTTTAAACGGAGTCTCGCTCTGTTGCCCAGGCTGGAGTGAAGCAGTGCGATCTCGGCTCCCTGCAACCTCTGCCTCCCAGATTCAAGCCATTCTCCTGCCTCAGCCTCCCGATTAGCTGGGACTACAGGCGCCCACCACCACGCCCGGCTAATTTTTTGTATTTTTAGCAGAGTCGGGGTTTCACCGTGTTAGCCAGGATGGTCTCGATCTCCTGACCTCGTGATCCACCCGCCTCGGCCTCCCAAAGTGCTGGGATTACAGGCGTGAACCACCAAGCCTGGCCAAGTCAGAAGAAATTTCTAAGCAACAAAGTGTTCAAGTGGCATGGCTTCTTGTACCAACCTAGGCTCAGATGTGGGAGCAAAGAAATTACCTAAAGGTAGAGTTTATATTTAAAAGAGAAGCAAAGTGTAAAAGTTCGAAAAATTTGCGGACTAGCCACATGGTAGAAAAGAAAAGTCCGTTTTCAGGGGAGGAATTCAAGTAGGCTGCTGGGCAACGACTTGCTGGAGAAATTTGCATAACTAAGAGGGAGTCACGTGCTGTACCAAAACATCTCATCTACCCCATAAATATATACACCTACTATGTATACACAAAAATTAAAAATTTAAAAACATATATAGTGACATGAGATGTAGTGTGAAATGTCATTAAAAGATGAGTTTGCATCAGAATAGTCCAAACGTTTCAAAAACATTCCAGCATGATCACTGCCTTGCTGACCAGTCTTCCTCCTGAGACGTGGTGACAGTAATGATCACAAACTTGGATCTCGTGGACAGACAGGGGAATTCAAGCTAAACCCTGGTCCTCAAAGAGTTCTGCATGTTACAGTCCCTGGTATATCCTTCCAATCTAATCCAATTTTCTGTGAGTCCATAAGACAGCAATCCATCTAAAAAATAACAATAAACCAACTAAAACTGCTTAATATAATATGTTAAAGATTTTTTAGGCCGGGTGCAATGGCTCACGCCTGTAATCTTCTCAGCATTTTGGGAGGCCGAGGTGGGCAGATCATGAGGTCAGGAGATCGAGACCATCCTGGCTAACACGGTGAAACCCCGTCTCTACTAAAAATACAAAAAATTAGCCGGGCGTGGTGGTGGGCGCCTGTAGTCCCAGCTACTCAGGAGGCTGAGGCAGGAGAATGGTGGGAACCCGGGAGGCGGAGGCTGCAGTGAGCCGAGATCGTGCCATTGCACTCCAGCCTGGGTGACAGAGCCAGACTCCATCTAAAAAAATATATATTTTTTTTAATTTTTTTTTTTTTTTTGAGACAGAGTCTCGCTCTGTCGCCCAGGCCGGACTGCGGACTGCAGTGGCGCAATCTCGGCTCACTGCAAGCTCCGCTTCCCGGGTTCACGCCATTCTCCTGCCTCAGCCTCCCCAGTAGCTGGGACTACAGGCGCCCGCCACCACGCCCGGCTAATTTTTTGTATTTTTAGTAGAGACGGGGTTTCACCTTGTTAGCCAGGATGGTCTCGATCTCCTGACCTCATGATCCACCCGCCTCGGCCTCCCAAAGTGCTGGGATTACAGGCGTGAGCCACCGCGCCTGGCCTAATTTTTTGTAATGCCTAAGAGATATAAAAACTAAGTGAAGGCTATGCAGTCAAAAGTTAAAGAAAGATGGAGTCCCCAGCCTCAAGCTGAATACTGAACCTGGAGCTCACCTTGATGATGATGAATTAACTGAGCTTTATTTTCATGGTTTTGTAAATCATGAGGACAAGGATAAAGTGCAGGGGTACAGATTCCAAAAGCTTCCACCTCATCATAAGAATGATTTCAAATCACTCACCAACTTCTCATGGTTGCAAGGAATACTACATTTGTTTTGAAACTTAGCATTGAACATGAGGCCAAAACACAGTGGCTCCTGAGAATGACTTTCCTGCTTCTGACTCTTCTTTTACTGGCATAATGGTTTCTATGCATTAGATTATCCTCCCTGCCTCTTTTCACTTTAGGTCTTCATTAGTGATTTTTATTCAGCTTTATCAAAGGATCCTTTGCACACAAACTGCATCCACTTAATCTGTGCAATTCAGTGAATTCTGACAGCTGTGAAACCACCAACATATCCAAGATTTTCTTCACTGCTCAGAAGATTCCTCATGCTCCTTTGCCTCCATGTGGCCACTGGTTCCTTTTTGATATGTATTTGTTGACTGATTTATTTATTTATTTATTTATTTATATATTTATTTTGAGACTGAGTTTCACTCTTGTTGCCCAGGCTGGAGTGTAATGGTGCAATCTTGGCTCCCGGGTTCAAGCGATTCTCCTGTCTCGGCCTCCTGAGTAGCTGGGATTACAGGTGCGCACCACCATGCCCAGCTAATTTTGTATTTTTAGTAGAGACGGGGTTTCTCCATGTTGGTCAAGCTGGTCTCGAACTCCCGACCTCAGGTGATCCGCCCACCTTGGCATCCCAAAGTGCTGAGATTACAGGCGTGAGCCACTGCACCCGGCCGACTAATTCATTTTTTAAACACACTTCTTACCTGGGAATAAATTTAAACTTGCAAAAGAGTTGCAGAGGTACAGAGAGTTCCCATATGCCCTTCATCCAGGTCCCTCTAATGTTCATGCTTTACACGACCCCAGCACATCCGCCAAAAAAAAAAAAAAATTAACACTGGTACAATAATTAACTGACAGGCTTTCTTTGGATTTCATCATCTTTCCACCAACGTTCTTTGCCTGTGCTGGGATCCAATGCAGGGGCACCGTCCTGCATTTACTTCCCTCTCTGTTAACTGCAGAGAAGGGTTTCTGTTTTCCTGGTTGGACCCTGATTAATATTCCCCTAGTATCTGAACTCCAGGTGCCCAGGAAGGTTGGGGGGCAAGGATGTGCTGCCCACTGGGGAAGGAGTGGCTGGCAGAATCGACATCCGTCTGTTCCTCCACAATCCAAGGTCACAGAACACATGGGCAGTTATTCTGGGTTTTTCCATAAGAAGGGTGATACAGAGCTGTCGTTGTTCCATATTATGAGGACCCCTCCACCTTTGCATTCCTCTAAGACCTTTCCTCTGAGACTCTCCTCCAAGCTGGAGAAGACAAGCTACATGCTTATGTCCAAGGCATGCTGCAGATTCAGCATGGCACAGCTCCCTCACTCAAAAACGTTACTTGATGTGGGATGCACAGGCATAGAGTAGTGATTCTCACACTAGACTCAGATACATACACAATATTTGCAACTTAAATTAAACACCAATTAAATGTCAAGTGGAAAGACAACATCTACAGAAATAAAATGACACAAGATGCAATGTGAAATGTCATTAAAAGAAGAGTTTGCATTAGAATAGTTCAAATATTTCAAAACTATTCCAGCACGTCACTGCGTTGCTGACCTATCTTCCTCCTGAGATGTGGTCGCCGTAATGATCTCAAGCTTGGACCTCGTGGACAGACTGGGGAACTCAAGCTAAACCCCGGTCCTCACAGTTCTGCACGTTGCAATCCTGTGTCGTTCCGTCCAATCTAATCCAATCTCAAGGACCCCAGTTCCTGAGCAACCCTGGCTTGGCTCGGCCAAAGGGAAGCGTCTACAGAATCTGAGTCTAGAATGCCCGGAGGTCTGTACTTCTTGCTGTTTTCAGGAGATTCAACTGCAAAGCCCTCCCCAAGTCATCCACATTGGCTCACGTTTCTGTGCCCCACCCTTCCTGCCTGGGAGGACCCTTCTTGTTCAGCCAAAAAAGCAACCTGAGGGTGGGGTGGTAGCAGGGACTCACCCATTTCTCTTTCCATCTTCTGTCGCGGATGCAACCCTGGAAGGAAGACCTCAGGACGATGATCATCTTCATAGGATTCCCGACCTGTGCCTGGCTTTGTCCTGAATATTAGCCTTGGCAGCCTGGCCTGGGCTCCGATGGTGGATGAACTTGGCTTTCCACGGGCTGCCACCTCCAGCCTGCGCTGTGGAGAGACCAGATCCTCGGAACAGTATTTTAACCTTGTCCTCCTTTCCCTTCCAGGGTTTACCAAGACATAGCGGGTGTCATAGATGTGAAAAAGCTTCTGCTATACCAGGGTCAGGAACGGAGCAAAACTGAAAACCGCACAGGATGTGGTCTGCCAGGTGCCAGCATCACAGCTCAAATCCTTAAGAAGCTCCAGCCGCAGGCACGGAAATAAACAGCTTCTCCCTGCCCTGTATACGTCTCCGATTTTACCCAGGATGGGGCTGAGGAAGCAACACAGATTCCCAAACGTTACTTTTTTTTTTTTATTTTGCTTGAGAGCCAAGGCAATATTAGACAAGCCTTACTCCCTAATTAGTGCCTGACAAGAACCATATCTCTGTCCCAATCCTTCTATTCAAAGTAGGCACAATTTGCTTTTACCAAATGTAAAACTCATGTCAAAGCCATGCTGTGAGTATTTACACCAGAGAAATCGGCAAATGCTACACGTCGGGGTTGTTTTTTGTTTTTCTTTTTGCTTTTTTTTTCAGAGAGCTGATTGTCAAGACTTTACCAGCACACTGCTGGTAAATTTCCAAAGGCCAATTTAAAGAAATTTTTTTAACAGAACATGTAAAAAAAAATCAACGTGAAGTCAACATGCTCCAGGGAAATCAGACAATTGATAAAGCATGTCTATTTCTGTAGTGTATACTCCAGCCTGTTTCCCCCTCCTACCTCAGGTACCGTAACCAGCATCTGAAGTCTTATATTCAAATTTCCCTTGCACTTTTGTAAATATAGTGTTCTCTCATCGATGTACCTATTTGGTGTGTATGTATATGTGTGTGTATATATATATATGCTATCATTTAAAAATTGTATTTATTTATTTAAGGTGGGTCACCGAGGCTGGAGTGCAATGGTGCAATCTCAGCTCACTGCAGCCTCCACTTCCCAGGCTCCAGCGATCCTCCTGCCTCAGCCTTCTGAGTAGCTGGGATTATAAGGGTGTGACCCCATACCCAGCTAATTTTTGTATGTTTAGTAGAGATGGGGTTTCGCCATGTTGACCAGGCTGGTCTTGAACTCCTGCCCTCAGGTGATCTGCCCGCCTCAGCCTCCCAAAGTGCTGGAATTACAGGCATGAGCTACTGTGCCCAGCCTCGTTTTTAATTTTAGTGCAAAGTATAGTTTTCAAAACAATGTTTGCAATGTCATCAAATATAGAATGAGCACGCATCAATGTCTTCTTAATTCATTAATGATGAAATCATCATTCAAAATTCCTGTCTTTACCCAAATATTTAGCTTCTTCTGTTGCTCTTCATTTGTTCCTGCGTTTCTCCATTTCCACTGGGATGATTTCCTCTTGTCCAAGCCTTTTATTCTGGCAACCAATGAACTTTACACTCTTTCTATAGTTTTGCCTTTTCCAGAATGTCACATAGTTGGAATCAGACAGTGGATACGCCATTTGGGCGGGCTTATTTCGTGTAGTGATATACATTGAACTCTCCTCCACATCTTTTCATGACTTGAGAGCTTGTGTCTTCTTAGCATGGGATAATATTCCATTGTCTGGACACATAGTTAATCCACTCACTTACTGAAGGGCATCTTGGTTGCTTCCAAGTTTGGGCGATTATGAATAAAGCTACTGTAAAGATCCATATGACCGTATGTTTTCAGCTCCCTTCGGTAAATATCAAGGAATGCAATTGCTGGATTACATGGCAAAGCTATATTTAGTTTTAGAAGAAATTGCCGCACTGTCTCCCAAAGTGGCTGTACCATTTGGCAATCCCACCAGCAATGAATGAGAGTTCCCGTTGCTCCACATCCTCGCCAGTAGGCCAGTATGTGGTATTGTCTGCGTTTTAGAATTTGGCCACTCTAATAGGTGTGTCGTGGTAACTTGGTTCCTAAGATACTGATAGAGGTGCAGAACACCAGCTGGGAAGTCAGCCAGAATGAGCTTCTCCTGTGACTTCCTGTCCCACAGCCTCAGAGAACTTTGACAAGCCACTTCCCCTATAAACTTGTCTTTCTTTCTTTCTTTTTTTTTTTTTTTTTTGAGATGAAGTCTCACTCTGTCACCCAGGCTGGAGTGCAATGGCATGATCTTGGCTCACTGCAACCTCCGCCTCCCGGGTTCAAGTGATTCTCATGCCTCAGCCTCGTGAGTAACTGGGATTACAGGCATGCACCACCACACCCAGATAATTTTGTATTTTTAGTACAGACGGGGTTTCACCATGCTGACCAGGCTGGTCTCGGACTCCTGACCTCGTGATCTGCCCACCTCAGCCTTTTAAAGTGCTGGGATTATAGGTGTAAGCCACTGAGCCCGGCCTCCTTATAAACTTCTCTAAATCTAAATTTGTGAATATTCTTTCTTTAAAAGTCGATCAACTGGCCTGGCACAGTGGCTCATGCCTGTAATACCAGCATTTTGGAAGGTCGAGGCGGATGGATCACTTGAGGTCAGGAGTTCGAGTCCAGCCTGGCCAACCTGGTGAAACCCCATCTCTACTAAAAATACAAAATTAGAGGGGCATAGTGGCGGGCGCCTGTAATCCCAGCTGCTTGGGAGGCTGAGAGGCAGGAGAATTGCTTGAACCCAGGAGGTAGAGGTTGCAGTGAGCCGAAATCGCACCACTGCACTCCAGCCTGGGCAACAGGAGCGAAACTCTGTCCTAAAAAAACAAAATTAAATTAAAAAGCCAGTCCTGGTGTGGTGGCTCACGCCTGTAATCCCAGCACTTTGGGAGGCCAAGGCGGGCAGATCACGAGGTCAGGTGATCGAGACCATCCTGGCCAACACGGTGAAACCCCATCTCTACTAAAAAAATACAAAAAGTTAGCTGGGCGTGGTGGCGGGCACCTGTAGTCCCAGCTACTTGGGAGGCTGAGGCAGGAAAATGGCATGAACCCGGGAGGCGGAGCTTGCAGTGAGCCGAGATCGCGCCACTGCACTCCAGCCAGGGTGACAGAGCGAGACTCCGTCTCAAAAATAAATAAATAAATAAAATAAATAAGTCGATAGACCAATATTTATCAATTACCTCTTATACGCTTGGTGTTTGAGATTCAGGAATGAACAAAACAGATCCAGTCCCTGCCCTCAACCTAGCTCTTAGTGTAATGATTATGGGAACAGGGTCAAATAGCAAATCACAAATTATTTCACGACTATTGTGAGACAAGAGTGAGAGCCAAGAGTGGTGGTGCACACCTGTAATCCCAGCTCGAACCAGGGAGACAGAGGTTGCAGTGAGCCGAGATCGCACCAATGGCTTAACACAATGGGATTTGGCTTTTCACTCATGTAAATGACCAGTGCGGTTTTCTCTGGGGCAGAATTTGAATTTTCTCCCCAGGATGACTCAGGGACACCCGCTTCCTCCATTGTGCTCCCATCATGCCCTTGGGCAATGGCGTCCCGTACTTCAAACAGCAAGAAAGAAGGAGAAACAGAATATATCTGTGCACTTGCAAAATTTGCTGACACATGTCATTTCTGTCCAGAATTGTTGGCTATAAATAGTGTTATGAACAGTCACACAATGATGCAACAAGACCAGGGAAAAAGTCCCTTGGTGGGGGTAGCCACTTCCCAGAGGTTCCAATGCTTGCACTGTAAGGGTAAGTACAGAATTTTTTTTTTTTCTGGTGAGCAGCCACATATTTCTGCCTCACGTGAAAAATAATCTCAAGAAGAAATGTACCTGAGAATGTATAGCCCAGGAGCATGATGTTGTGACACCTGATTGATGGACCATGTGGGGTGATTGACTCCCCTGTACTTAGAAGGAAATCAAAACCAAAGGTTCAAGTAATATTAAAGAGAAATATTGTCATATTCCCTCTGGAACCCATGCACGTCTTAGCTAACCTGCAGAGAGGAGTAGAAACCACTAGAACTGAAGGAGGCAGCTCTGTGCAAGGGTGACGGCCTTCTCCCCTCCCAGTTCCCTTAGTTCTGGAGTTCGATGAAGGACGGGGTCCACACGGCCCACTCCGTTTCCTCTTTCTCTGAACCGGGGGTGCAGAACCTGAACCCAGACAACCCCTGGGTATGAGTCCGGCCCCAGATCACAGCTGTGGTTTTGGCTGCCGCAGTGACCTTGGCAAAGTCCTGAGTCGTTTGCTGTTGTGGGTATGATGGACAGCTGCGACGTTTTCCTGGACTCCCACTGAAATCTTTAACTTCAAGATCATCTTCTCCATCCCAACAGAACTCATCAGGCCCAGAAGGCTCCCAGCCCCAGAGGTTCCCAGAGCTCTTCAGGTGGAATGTTGAGTCTGCACAAGCCAGGATGGTGACTCTGGAGAAGTTCTCCAGAAAAGAATCAGCATCTAGAGTCTCCTGAGTTCCAGGCCCTTAGAAATTTAGACTCCAGAACCACTGCCAAAGTGACCCCCTCAGCCCAGCCCTTCGGTACCCAGCATCCACTGTCCTCAGCCCAGCCCTTCCGTACCCAGCATCCACTGTCCTGGTGGGAGTCCGCTGTGCTGCTCCAAGAAGACAGACCCTCACCATTACCGGAAAGACTGACCCTCCTGTGTCCAGGTCCTGTGGCCCAGACTCAGCTCTGGAAGAGAAATCTGGATTTACAATGCTCAGTACGTCGCTCAAAATCTGCACTCGATGACGTCTGTAAGCTCTTGGTCCCAGCCTGGGCTGCGAAGCCTGAGGCTTGGGCAGACAATGCCGTCCCGCCGTCATCTCTGCTCCCTCTTCGATCGCTAAGCTCCCACAGCATTGATCTAACCAGACATGGGCCCAGGGAGAGAGCTGTCTTCCCCACCTCCCAGCCCCAATCCCTCAATCCCTCGCCTGCCGTGCCAAGACTGGTCAAGGGAAAGTCCAGGAAGAAAGCATGGTAAGGGGCACCGTGCTGCCTGCGCCCGCCCCGCTGTGCAGAATGCAGAGGCTCAGGATGCGGTGCGCAGAGACTCAGTCCCAACCGTCTTGTGGCTTCTTACCACGTATCTCCCAGGAAGTCACCATGAGGCTTAGTTCTTCCTTCCTGTGACTGGGGTAAAGGAGAGAACTGTCTCCTTGGACATCATCATCCATACGCCCGGCCCGAACGTCATCTCTGACCCAAACACCAAATCCAGACGGGCAACCACGGCTGTGGGGTGTGGAGGGGGAATCTGAACACCAACCTGGAGGTCAGACTTGAAGGAGACGGCGACGCTGCCTTCGCCCCATTCACAATATACAACCTTCGATGGGCCACCTCCCCAGTGAGGCTTCATCAAGGGGGCTTGGTCAACTTCCTTTTTGTGTGAACGAAAACATACGTTTCCAGGCGCCTATTAAGGGCTTGAGTCTGTGTCAGAGACGAGCCACACAAGTCAACGGACCTCACAGTCTAATGTGGAGGGCACACCTCTGACTATTCAAAAGTCATATATAGCATATTAACCGTAGATTTTAACAAATTAGCCTTGAAATACCTGCAGTTTGTCACAATGGAAGGCTCACTTCTCACTGGGTGACACGTCCATATGGGGGCCCCCGGTTGGCAGTTGGAGCTCCTCCATCAGGTGACTCAGGTGCCCAGATTCTTCCAACTTTGGGGTCCAACCTCCCCTAGAACCTTGGAGTGCTCTGTTACCAGTGAGGGGAAAGAGGAAGAGAGAGTGGAAAGGGCTCATCCGTGCCTTTTAAATAAAAAATCTGAATGTGACCAGGCGCAGTGGCTCACGCCTGTAATCCCAGCACTTTGGGAGGCCAAGGCAGGCAGATCACAAGGTCAAGAGATGGAGACCAGCCGGGTGCGGTGGCTCACGCCTGTAATCCCAGCACTTTGGGAGGCCAAGACAGGTAGATCACAAGGTCAGGAGATCGAGACTATCCTGGCTAACACGGTGAAACCCCATCTCTACTAAAAATACAAAAAAATTAGCCGGGCATGGTGGCGGGCACCTGTAGTCCCAGCTACTTGGGAGGCTGAGGCAGGAGAATGGCGTGAACCTGGGAGGCGGAGCTTGCAGTGAGCCAAGATCGTGCCACTGCACTCCAGCCTGGACGACAGAGCGAGACTCCATCTCAAAAAAAAAAAAAAAAAAAGAGGTGGAGACCATCCTGGCCAACATGGTGAAACCCCGTCTCTGCTAAAAATACAAAACTAAGCTGGGTGTGGTGGTGCACACCTGTAGTCCCAGCTACTTGGAAGGCTGAGGCATGAGAATCACTTGAACCTGGGAGACAGAGGTTGTAGTGAGCCGAGATCGAGCCACTGCACCCCAGCCTGGGGACAGAGCAAGACTCCGTCTCAGAAAAAAAAAAAAATCCTACGACCTTGTGTGAAAAGGGGACTCAACCCTCAGAGCTAACTCCAGGGAAGCCACCTGCAGTGTGGAGTGGAATTGGGGCTGAGGACTGACGAGCTGGCGACAGGAAGAGCAGCTGGGGGAGACGTGGACGGAGGAGACAGCTTCTGTGAAAGCCCTAATCAGGAGACAATTTTTCCTGTTGTAAGTTGAGTGGACTCCAGATGGAAAAATAATACGAAGAATATGTGTACTGATTGAGCAGGAGTCTCTAAAAGGCCAAATAAAGTTTTGGTATTTTACCCTCAAGAGAGTGGGACAGGTTTTGAGCATAAGTATGGCATCATCATATTTTTGTCTAAAATGTATCTGTAAGACCACTTCCTGAAGTCAGAATTGCACGAAGCAAAAACAGTAAGAGGTAACGTTTTCTGAGCATTTACTTTATGCCAGACACTGCCCTGAGTCCCCAGTATGGATAGTTTACTTAATTTTCCCAACAACTTTGGAAAGGTGTTTTCATCACTAGACTCATTTTAATGATGAGAACACTGAACTCAGAGGTTAATTAGTTTGATTAGTGTCATGTATTAACATGCATAATTTCATGGAAGGAACTGGATTTCAACCCAGGAAGAAAGTATGTCCTTACCTATTATTATTATTATTATTATTATTATTATTATTATTATTATTGAGACAGAGTCTTGCTCTGTCACCCAGGCTGGAGTTCAGTGGCATGATCTCGGCTCACTGCAACCTCCGCCTCCCAGGTTCAAGCAATTCTCCTTGTCTCAGCCTCCTGAGTAGCTGGGACTACAGGCGCCCACCACCACGCCTGGCTAACTTTTGTATTTTTAGTAGAGACGAGGTTTCACCATGTTGACCAGGCTGATCTGCATCTCCTGACCTCATGATCCACCCACCTCGGCCTCCCAAAATGCTGGAATTACAGGCGTGAGCCACCGCACCCGGCCGTCCTTACCTATTATTGATATATCATTGTATTTCTTAAAGAAAACAAGAAAAACCAAGTGTGGATAGACCAGTTAAAAAGTTCTTGCCTTCCAGGACAGTGATGATTTGTTTGCACTGGAATTATCACAGCAGGAATTTCAGTAAATATGTGGATTTATGACTGGGAGGTAGGCTCAGAAGAAATGCTGATGGAAGTTTGGCTTCCAGAAATATCTGACTAGGTTGTTTTAGACTAAACTTCTCACCGTTAATTAAAAAAAAAAAAAAAAAAAACTTTAGGCCAGGCGCGGTGGCTCACGCCTGTAATCCCATCACCTTGGGAGGCCGAGGCAGGCAGATCATGAGGTCAAGAGATCGAGACCATCCTGGCCAACATGGTGAAACCCCTTCTCTACTAAAAATACAAAAATTAGCCAGGCGTGTTGGTGGGTTCCTGTAGTCCCAGCTACCCTGGAGGCTGAGGCAGGAGAATCGCTTGAACCCGGGAGGTGGAGATTGTAGTGAGCCGAGATCGCGCCACTGCACTCCAGCCTGGGCAACAGAGTGAGACTCCGTCTCAAAAACAAAAAAAAAACAAAAAAAACAACAACAACTGTAAAAGATGAACAAAAACCAAAGAACATCTGTCTGTAGAACTTGGCATGCTTCCAAGGCAGAGAGAATTTAGGGTTCCAAGACATAAAAGAGGAAGGAAACCAAGCAAGGGGACTTTATCCTTTGAGGTTAGTTTTATGTTAACGGTTTGCTGATTCTGAAACTAAAGGCAGCAGATGAGAGACCAAAAAGCTGAGTAGGAGCAGGATGAAGAATTTCAACAAAGAACTAGCAAATATAAGAACAAACACAGCCGGACGCGGTGGCTCACACCTGTAATCCCAATACTTTGGGAGGCCAAGGCGGGTGGATCACCTGAGCTTGGGGGTTTGAGATCAGCCTGACCAACAGGGAGAAACCCCATCTCTACTAAAAATACAAAATTAGCCGGACTCAGTGGCGCATGCCTGTAATCCCAGCTACTCAGGAGGCTGAGGCGGGAGAATCGCTTGAACCCAGGAGGCGGAGGTTGCAGTGAACCGAGATGGTGCCACTACACTCCAGCCTGGGTGACAGAGTGAGATTCCATCTCAAAAAAGAAAAAGAAAAAAAAAGAAAATACGGGACATGGTGAAAATACTTAACATATGTACAACTGGAATCCCATAAGGGGAAGAAAGACAGAGAAAGAGAAAGGCAGACACGATATTGGAAGGGTTACTGAACAATATTTCCTAAAATGAATCAAAAACATCAAGCCACACAGTAGATGTCCAGTAGGAACTTAAACCTCACGTGTTTATAACATGTTATAATATAAGTTGCTTATATTCACTCCCAAATCTCCTCCTCCTAAGGTCTTTCCCATCTCAGTAAATGAGAATTCCAGCCACTAGTTATTTGGGCAAAAAAAAAAAATAAGTGTTACCCTTGACTCCATGTTTTTCCTCATATCCCACAGCTGTGAGTACATTATCAGACATTTCCCTTTGAAATATCTCCAGAATAGTATCATTTCTCTCCACCTCTTGGAGACCACCCGAGCCTGAACCACTGTCTGCTGTACCTGGATCATTGCAAGAGCTTCCTAACTAATCCTTCTTGCATCTAACATTCCTCCTCTATTAATCTGTTCTCCACACAGTAGCAGAGTTGTCTTGTAAGAAGATAACGATTCTCCCAAGGATCACAGCCAATCAGACACAGCAATGGCTGCTCCAAGCCACAGGGATGCCTGCTCATGCACCGTGCCAGCCAAGCTCGTTTCTGGAGTTTTGGGTGGGTCCGGATGAGAGAAGACAATAGCTAACTTTATGGCTGTCATTCTGGGAAATCATTCCCTTGAGAACAGAGCTTTGTCAAAAGAAGGTGGATTCTACAAAAGATTAAGCAGTAAATGACTCAAAAGATGATCAGGCAATGGGGGAAAATTAGCCAAGAGCTGATTCCTATGAAATGTTTTATTATTCCTGTGAAATTTTTGCATTAATCAAGACCATGAATTTGGAAGGAGCCCTTCTTGGAGAAGACCTCTTCATTGGAAGCAATGGTCCCTGTACAGGTGGCTGAGAGGAACACAACAAAAGCAACGTCCAGGTAGAGCAGGAAGGATGCCCCTCAGGAGCAAGGAGTGGTCATCAGGTGAAACCCAAGGTGTCTTCTTAGAGAGTGAAGGTCCCGGGTACCTGCCGCCAGGTCCTAGTGACCAGCCCCCAGAGTGGAAGTACAAGGGTAATGCCCAGCTACTCACACCGGGGGGTGATGTCCTGGAGAAAGGGCTGACAGCAGCTTACCTGGACTGCTGGCATCATTATCACATGCATGCCACATGCCTTCATGAAAATCAAAGTCTCCCTCCAAAGTGCAAGTCCAATTCCATAAAATAAGGCATGCTGATCATAAAATACGATTTGGCAATAAAATGGCAGTATAGCAAAAGCACTGGCCACTTTGTGTCACTCCTTAGTATGGTTTGGATCTGTGTCCCCACCAAATCTCATGTCGAATTGTCATCTCCAGTGTTGGAGGTGGGGACTGGTGGGAGGTGATTGGCTCATGGGGGTGGCTCCTGCATGAATGGTGGGGACTGGTGGGAGGTGACTGGCTCATGGGGGTGGCTCCTGCATGAATGGTGGGGACTGGTGGGAGGTGATTGGCTCATGGGGGTGGCTCCTGCGTGAATGGTGGGGACTGGTGGGAGGTGATTGGCTCATGGGGGTGGCTCCTGCGTGAATGGTGGGGACTGGTGGGAGGTGACTGGCTCATGGGGGTGGCTCCGGTATGAATGGTGGGGACTGGTGGGAGGTGATTGGCTCATGGGGGTGGCTCCAGCATGAATGGTTTGTCACCATCCCCTTCGGTGCTGTTCTCACGATAGTGAGTGAGTCCTCATTAGATGTGGTTGTTTAAAAGTGTATGGCACCTCTCTTCTCTCTCTCTCTCTCCCTCCTGCTCCAGCCATGTAAAGTGTTTGCTCCTCCTTTGCCTTCCACCATGACTGAAAGCCTCCTGAGGCCTCCCCAGAAGCCAAGCAGAAGCCACTGTGCTTCCTGTACAGCTTGCAGAACCATGAGCCAATTAAACTTCTTTTCTTTGTAAGTTTCCCAGTGCCAGGTATTTCTTTACAGCAATACAAGAACGGACTAATACAGAAAATTGGCACCCAGGATGGACTAATACACTCTTATGCCCAAAAGCGTTCCAGAACTTCCCACCAAGGTCATATTGACAAGACTTTGCATCTTCTCTCCCCCACCCACCTCTTGGCTTAGCACTCTGATTGTATCTCCTCCCACTTTCCCCTTCGTGACCCTGATCCAGCCACATGGACATCCTTGCTGTTCCTAGAATACACCAAGCATGCATCTGCCTCAGGACCTTTGCATGTGCCATGCTTTCTGCCTGGAACACTCTTCCCCCAGAGATGCATGGGGCTCACTCTCTGCCTCCTTCACTCTTGACTCCAATATTCCCTTCTCCTTCAGGTCTTCTTGGACCATCCTATCTAAAGTTGCAACACTCCCTCCAGATTTCATATCACCTCTCACTGCCTTTTTTTCTTTCTTCAGCATATATCACTAATCTTGCATATATTTTATTTATTAATATTGTTTATGATCTGCCCCCCCATTAGAATATATCTCCATGAAGTCATAGATGTTTTTTCTGCAGTGTTTCCTATAGTGTCCCTGCACCTAGGACAGTCCCTGGCACACAATAGATACTCAATAAATTTTTTTGAATGAATATTTGTTGAGTATCTAAAATCTCTAAACTTATGAATGAATAGACATATACAGTATATAGGAAGTATAAGGAAGGCTACAAGGGCATGATTACTGAGTACAATTCTAGAAGCCAGATCTCTAGCTTTTAATTATGGTTGTACCAGTTATAAGCTTTGTGACTTTAGAGTAAGTTTATTAACCTCTCTGTTCCTCTACTTCTTCCTCTGTAAAAAAAATTTTTCAGCCGGGCAAGGTGGCTCACGCCTGTAATCCCAGCACTTTGGGAGGCCGAGGCGGGCGGATCACGAGGTCAGGAGATCGAGGCCATCCTGGCTAACACGGTGAAACCCCGTCTGTACTAAAAATACAAAAAATTAGCCGGGCGTGGTTGCGCAAGCCTGTAGTTCCAGCTACTCGGGAGGCTGAGGCAGGACAATGGCGTGAACCCGGGAGGTGGAGCTTGTAGTGAGCTGAGATCGCGCCACTGCACTCCAGCCTGGGCGACAGAGCAAGACTCCGTCTCAAAAAAAAAAAAAAAAAAAAAAATACAAAGTAATTGTACAGAACTCATAAAATTTTTGTGACTATTCGGTGAGTTATTATGTTAAAAGTAATCAGATAGGCTGAGGCAGGAGAATCGCTTGAACCCGGGAGGCAGAGGTTGCAGTGAGCTGAGATCACGCCACTGCACTCCAGCCTGGGTGACAGAGCAAGACTCCGTCAAAAAAAAAAAAAAAAAAAAAAAATTACGTAACGGATACAATGTATGTCACTGGGTTAGTGGATCCCTGAAAGCCCTAACTTCATCATTCTGGAATCTATCCATGCAACAAAGTTACACTCGTACCCCATAAACGTATACAAATAAAAAATAATCGGCTGCGCATGGTGGTTTACAGCTGTAATCCCAGCACTTTGGGAGGCTGAGGAGGGCGGATCACCTGAGGTCGGGGGTTTGAGACCAGCCTGACCAACAGGGAGAAACCCTGCCTCTACTAAAAATACAAAATTAGCTGGGCGTGGTAGCACATGCCTGTAATCCCAGCTACTCAGGAGGCTGAGGCAGGAGAATCGCTTGAACCCGGGAGGCAGAGGTTGCAGTGAGCAGAGATCAAACCATTGCACTCCAGCCTGGGCAACGAGAGCAAAACTCCATCTCAAAAAATAATCATAATCATAATCATAAATATAAGGCAAAAGTAAGCATGCTTTCTTTAAAAAAAGTAGTCAGACTGAGCCTGTCATCTGGTAAGAGCTCTAACGTTTATCGTTAATATGATTGTTATTGTCGCTGTTATATTTTCATTATTGGTGTTGTCATTATATGTACAAAACAGCATCAGCAGAGAATCCACATCCTTTTCAAGAACAAATGAAGCATTTACAAAAATTGATGACTTATTAATCCACCCAGGAAGTCTCAAAATCTTCCAAAAACTTCATATAATACAAACCATGACTGGGCACAGTGGCTCATGCCTGTAATCCCAGCACTTTGGGAGACCGAGGAGGGCGGATCACCTGAGGTCAGGAGTTCGAGACCAGCCTGGCCAACATGGCAAAACCCCGTCTCTACTAAAAACACAAAATTAGCCGGGCGTAGTGGTGCATGCCTGTAATCCCAGCTACTTGGGAGGCTGAGGCAGGAGAATTGCTTGAACTCGGGAGGTGGAGGTTGCAGTGAGCCGAGATTGTGCCATTGCGCTCCAGCCTGGGCAACAAGAGCAAAACTTCGTCTCAAAAAAAAAAAAAAAAAAAAAAAAAAAAAGAAAAAAGAAAAGAAAAGAAAAAGAAAAGAAAAAAAAGAAATACAGACCATATTCTGTGACTACAAATTTATGTAAAAGATTAAATATTAAAAGATTTAAAAATACATTTTTAAAACTAAAAATTCAGTACAACTTATGAGTTCAGACTTAAAAAACACAGGAGACATAAAATATTTAGAAATGAGCAGAGACAGTGATTCATATCGAAACTTGCTGAATGCAATAAAAGTCCTACTTAGGGGAAAATGTACACTTTTTTTTTTTTTTTAGAAAACACGAAGTTTGGGAAATTACTTACTGAGCATGCAACTTGTGGAGCTGGAAGGAGAAAGGAAGTCAAGGGGAGGTGCAGGAAGGGTCCAGAAAAGCAGCAAACACAAGGTTAACAGAAGAAATGCCCCAGTAAGTGCCCAAGGAACTCACCCAGGTGCATTGTCACGACGCTTTCAGAAACAAAAGAAAAAGAAAATAAACATATTCTAGGTGAGAGAAAACAGACAACTGTGCACTAAGTTT
The DNA here is from genome assembly GCF_000001405.40 of Homo sapiens. Classification (NCBI taxonomy): domain Eukaryota; kingdom Metazoa; phylum Chordata; class Mammalia; order Primates; family Hominidae; genus Homo; species Homo sapiens. Next base: position 365,154 of record NW_003571055.2, read on the forward strand.
CTATTTTTTTTTTTTTTTTTTTTTTTTTTTTTGAGACGGAGTCTCACTCTGTCGCCCAGGCTGGAGTGCGGTGGCGCGATCTCAGCTCACTGCAAGCTCCGCCTCCCGGGTTCACGCCATTCTCCTGCCTCAGCCTCCCGCGTAGCTGGGACTACAGGCGCCCGCCACCACGCCCGGCTAATTTTTTGTATTTTTAGTAGAGACGGGGTTTCACCATGTTGGCCAGGATGGTCTCGATCTCCTGACCTCGTGATCCGCCCACCTCGGCCTCCCAAAGTGCTGGGATTACAGGCGTGAACCACCGCGCCCGGCCGGTTTCTATTATTATAATCACATCAGACTTCTCATCAGTCACTCTGGAAGTTGACAAGGGAGAAATGCGTTTGAAAATAGCCTGTGGCCGGGTGCAGTGGCTCACGGCTGTAATCCCAGCACGTTGGGAGGCCGAGGCGGGCAGATCACAAGGTCAGTAGTTCGAGACCAGCCTGGCCAGCATGGTGAAACCCTGTCTCTATTAAAAATACAAAAAAATTAGCCAGGCATGTCTGTAGTCCCAGCCACTCCAGAAGCTGAGGCAGGAGAACTGCTTGAACCCGGGAGGTGGAGGTTGGAGTGAACTGAGATTGCACCACTGTACTTCAGCCCGGGCAACAGAGTGAGACTCTGTCTCAAAAAATGAAAGAAAGAAAGGGAGGGAGGGAGGGAGGGAGGGAGGGAGGAAGGAAGGAAGGAATGAAGGAAGGAAGGAAGGAAGAAAATAGCCTATGTATTCCTATGGAGAGATCCCAGAGTGTATTCTTAGAGATTAAACGACATCAGGATGTCATCTGTATTGTGCCAAGAATTGGGGGAATCAGAATATACATTCATATTGACTCATATTCACCCAGAAACAAACACTGGAAGGATTAATATGAGAAAGTTAAAATTGTGGCTCTCCCACGTTTTCTTCCCCGTCCACCCACCTGAACAAGCTGCGGTCCTAGAAATCACCTCCGACTGCTCCTCTTTCTCACCCTCTCCCCTTGTTCTACCTTCAGAATCTGTCCTCATGCAGACACTGCTTGCCAGCACCACGGCGCCAGGTTCACCCTCTCTCTCCTCGTCCAGGGAACATTCCCTAAGTGGTGTCTCTGTGTTCATTTGCTGCTTCTTAGCTGTTCTCCTCATTGTAGCCAGGGTGATGTTTTCAAAGGGTCAGTCAAATCATGTCTCGCTACCATTGAAATCTCCAGTGATTCATGATGTACTTCGCCCAAAACCCAAACTCTGTGACCTACGGGACACTCACTCACCTCTCCAGTTTCATGTTGGTCCCTGTGCCCCTCACTCCCTGCCCTCAGGCCACATGACATTCCTGCTGTTCCTTGAAGACACCAGGTCCCTCCCTGCCTTGGGACTCTGCGTCTCTGCCTGGGTGCACTGACCTCCTGCTTTGCACCACAGCCTCCAGGTCTCTGCTCAGCATCATCTTAGCAAGAAGGGCCTTCTCAGATCACTCTGTTGAAAGAAGTCCACTCCCCTGACACCCATCCCTTTGCTAAGAAGATTTGTCTTCATTCTCTCTTGACGTTCATCCTCCTTTCTAATTATCTACTCTTTGACTTGTACGCTGTCCCTCTCTCCCCATTAGAATGGAGACTTCACTTGGCCAGGGACCTTGTCTGTCTTGATCATCACTCTATCACCGGTACTTAGGGCCTGGCACATAATAGATGCTCAGCAAATACTTGTAGAACGAATAGTGAATCAGAAACAATATTGGCCATTGTTTACTGGACATTTAAAGGTTAAATAATGGCACCCCTATGCAATGAAATACTGGATTAGCATTAAAAATGATGCTGCTGGCCGGGCACGGCGGCTCATGCCTGTAATCCCAGCACTTTGGGAGGCCAAGGCGGGCGGATCACCTGAGGTCAGGAGTTTGAGACCAGCCTGACCAACAGGATGAAACCTCATCTCCACTAAAAATAAAAAAAATAGCTTGGCATGGTGGCGCACACCTGTAATCCCAGCTACTCAGGAGGCCGAGGCAGGAGAATCACTTGAGCCTGGGAGGCGGAGGTTGCAGTGAGCTGAGATCGTGCCACTGCACTCCGGGCTGCCCCACACAGCGAAACTCTGTCTCAAAGAAAAAAAAAAAAAAAGGATGATGTTGTTTTACTTTTATTGACATGAAAGATGTCAAGGGTATTGTTGAGTGAACAAAACAGGAAAAACACATGTATGTAGAAGTTACATACATTAAGTTATATATGTACATTTACACACATGTTTATGGAAGGAGAGATTTCTGAGAAAGTGTTAACAGAAATGTTTGCTGTGATTAACATGAGGTAATGAGGGTTTCAAATTCTCTCATTTCATTTTTTATGAGTTGTTTTATTTGGATTTTTTTTTTTGAGACGGAGTCTCGCTCTGTCGCCCAGGCTGGAGTGCAGTGGTGCCATCTCGGCTCACTGCAAGCTCTGCCTTCTGGGTTCATGCCATTCTCCTGCCTCGGCCTCCCAAGTAGCTGGGACCACAGGCGCCCGCCACCACGCCAGGCTAATTTTTTGTATTTTTAGTAGAGATGGGGTTTCACCGTGTTGACCGGGATGGTCTCAATCTCCTGACCTTGTGATCCACCAGCCTTGGCCTCCCAAAATGCTGGGATTACAGGCATGAGCCACCGCGCCTGGTCCCTGGACTTTTTTTTTTTAAAGAAAGGGTCCTGCTCTTGTCACCCAGGCTGAAGTGCAGGACGCGATCGTAGCTCACTGCACTCTCAACCTCGCAGGGCTCAGGTCAACCTCCCAACTCAGCCTCCCGAGTAGCTGGGACTTCAGAAGCGTGCCACGCACACCCGGCTAATTTTTGTATTTTGTATCTAACTCCTGGGCTCAAGCGATCCGCCTGCCTCTGTCTCCCAAAATGCTTGGATTACAGGTGTGAGCCACCATGCCTGGGTGAATTTTTTTTTTTTTTTGAGATGGAGTTTCACTCTTGTTGCCCAGGCTGGAGTGCAATGGTGCAATCTCGGCTCGCCACCACCTCCGCCTGCCGGGTTCAAGTGATTCTCCTGCCTCAGCCTCCTGAGTAGCTGGGATTAGAGGCATACGCCACCACGCCCAGCTAATTTTGTATTTTTAGTAGAGACAGGGTTTCCCCATGTTGGTCAGGCTGGTCTCAAACTCCCGACCTCAGGCGATCTGCCCACCTCAGCCTCCCAAAGTGCTGGGATTATAGGGGTGAGCCACCGTGCTGGCCGAATTTTTTTACATTAAGCATGTGTCAGTCGTAACTAGGAAAAACAAAATTATTTTTGTTTAAGAAGATAAAATAAAATGGCCACCTATGAGGAGCTGGGAGTACAGGCTTAGGTGGAAACAGATAAGGTGTCAAGACCTCCTTCTGTGACTGACCCCTTCAGATTTTCTCCCTAGAGTTTCAGTCATGCAAGATGAGGAGGTCTCAGAGCCTCCTGTGCGGTGTAGTGCCAGCAGGTAACAATACAGTATTGTGTGCTTACACATTTGCTGAGAAGATAGATCTTTTGTTAAGTGCTCTTATCATCACAAATTGATATGTGGCCATAAAAATAGTATCAAACAATAATAATATACAAATAGACGGGAGGAACCTGTGAGAGGTGGTGGATGGGTTTATGTCGTAAACTGTGGTGTTGACACACAGGGCATACTCATCTCCAAACTCATCAAGTCGTATATGTTAAATACATACTGCTTTTTATATGTCAATTATTCCTCGATAGAGTAAGGTTTTTTTTTTTTTGTAATTGCAAGTGTCTGCAGAGAGCTTCTATAGGTTTGGGGGTCCGGGAGACTCCCATAGGTGTGCCCCGTGAGCCTCAGCACCTAGGGTGTGTGTAGTGGCTATTCTGCCTTTATCTGTATTAAATTTTTTAAAAATTATTTTCCCAGGCATTCCACGACGCTCAACTTTTCACCCAAGTTCAAGTTCCTGTTTTTTTCTTCACAGAAGTCGATTGTGGGCGCCAGTTCCCACATTGCTCTCATCCTAAGTAGCAGCAACTTGCGGGCTGATGCCTGTGTCCAGCCCTAGAAGAGCCTCCGTACCTAGAAGAAAACCTCCCCTCCTGGGAGTCACGGCGCAAGGCTGGGCTCCCATCCTCGCAGGGAGGGGCGGATGCACCTGCCCCTGCAGATCTGCGCCCAGATCTGTGTTATCCACACCCACATCTGCGTCTGCAGGAAGAGGCTCCGCAGCAGGCAACAGCTTCCATCTGCGAGCCTCATTTAATCCCCACGAGGATCCTGTAGAGGGTTCCTATGTTCACCTCTGTTTTATATATAGACGAGGACGCTGGCTCTGGGAGGAGTAAAGCCGTGCAGCAGTAACTCCCGTGCAGCAGTAACTCCCGTGCAGCAGTAACTGCAGCCGTGCAGAGTAAACTCCCAGCACAGAACCCGGCCTCCCCGGTTCAGAAACAAAAGTGAGCTCCCTCCTCCCTGCTTGCGGGCGAAACTCTCGCTGCCTGTTGAACGTCTCCACCTGGATGCCACGGCTTCCCCAGACTCCCAGTGCCCCCGGGCAACGCCTTCCTCTCTCCCCACCTTTCCAAATTTTCTCTGCAGCAAGTTTCCCTCCTCCAAGTTTCTCCCCCTTCTCCAGCCTTCACGTTCAGTCCCGTGTCTCTGTGCCGTACAGGACTCAGCTGCCATAACAGCAGCTGGCGTCTCAGCGCCCCCGGAAGCTGAGACTTTCCAGGACAAGAACTGCTTTGGAGTCCTCTCGGGCCCCAGCACGACCTGCTACACTGCAAACTACTGCAAAGAACCTTTCAAGACTGGAGAGATGGAGCACCCCAAGTCTGTTTTACAGATGGAAAGGTGGTGGCTCAAAGACGAGATACCACAATAACAGTGGCTATGAAGCTCTCGCTTTGTCAAGATACAGTTCAAAGCACTGGGCATGCACTGACTCATCTCACGACCCCTAAAACACTCACGTTGGATACTATTGCTACTCCTCTTACCAACGCAGAAACAGCGTCACAGCAAAGTTAAGCAGCTTGCCCAAAGATCCTCCGCTAGGAAGGGAAGAAGGTGGCCTTTGAACTTGAGCTCCCCATCCACAGTCTGCAGTCCTTCAGACTGGAGCACATTGTAGAAATTAACAATGTCATCCCAACAACCCTTATAAAACACTTTTGGGCCGGGCGCGGTGGCTCACGCCTGTCATCCCAGCACTTCGGAAGGCCGAGGCAGGTGGATCACCTGAGGTGAGTTCGAGACCAGCCTTACCAACAAGGTGAAACCCTGTCCCTACTAAAAATACAAAAATTAGCCGGGCGTGGTGGCTGGCGCCTGTAGTCCCAGCTACTCGGGAGGCTAAGGCAGGAGAATTCCTTGAACCCGCGAGGTGGAGGTTGCAGTGAGCCGAGATCGTGCCACTGCACTCCAGCCTGGGCGATGGAGCGAGACTCCATCTCAAAAACAAAACAAAACAAAACAAAAAACACTTTTGAGTTCTGACTTTATTTCTTGCTGTTTTCTTATTTTTCATGGAACTCATCTTAATGATTTCACGTTTACCAATCACGTATATTTGGACGTGATTACAGGGCCACAGGGCAACCTCCAGAAGCATGATTCCTTTCCTAAGAATGAGGAAGGATGTGGTCAGTGTGTTCCTAAAATTATGATACTGCTTTGTAAGATAACATGTTTTGTTCGTTTTATTTCATCTTTTTATTTTGAAACAGAGTCTCACTCTGTCACCCAGCCTGGAGTGCAGTGGAGCAATCTCAATTCACTGCAGCCTCTGCCTCCTGGGCTCAAGCCATCCTCTCACCTTGGCCCCCCAAGTAGCTGGGACTATAGGCACACATCACCATACCCAGTTAATTTTTGTATTTTTTGTAGAGCTAGGGTTTCACCATGTTGCCCAGGCTGTTCTCAAACTCCCAAACTCAAGCAATCCACCCACCTTGGCTTCCCAAAGTGCTGGGATTACAGGCGTGAGCCACTGCACCTGGCCCAATTTTATTTCTTATTATTTTGCATGCCATTGTGAATGTATGAAGTGTTTCTCTCTTTATTTAGATCTTTAATTTCCCTCAGCAATCTTTTGTAGTTCTTAGTGTACACATCTTGCATTTCTTTATTAAATTGGTTTCTATTCATTTTATTATTTTTGAGGCTTTGTAAATAAAATTGCTCTCCTAATTTCATTATTGAATTATTTTTGTCAGTATATAGACATATGATTGATTTTAGTGAATATGTCTTCATCGTGCTAGGATTTTTGTTGTTGTTGCTGCTGTTGTTGTTATTGTTGAGACAGAGTTTCGCTCTTGTTGCCCAGGCTGGAGTGCAATGGCGCAATCTCGGCTCACTGCAACCTCCACCTCCCGAGTTCAAGCAATTCTCCTGCCTCAGCCTCCTGAGTAGCTGGGATTACAGGCATGCACCACCATGCCTGGCTAAGTTTTTGTATTTTTAGTAGAGACGGGGTTTCACCATGTTGGCCAGGCTGGTCTCAAACCCCTGACCTCAGGTGATCCACTCCCCTCAGTCTCCCAAAATGCTGGGATTACAGGCATGAGCCACCACATCCGGCTCTTGCTAGAAATTTATTGTACTTTTCAGCTTCATAATTTCCATTTAGTTTTATGCTTTAATAATATCCCAAGGTAACATTATGGTCACTTTCTGTAACTAATATTTCTTACTCTGTTGATTTATCAGGGGCTGGATTACTCTCCTTCAAGTTTCCTGTGCTAGCCTAATGGTTTGGATGTTGTTGTTCAATGCAATTCTCCTTTATTTTTGTTCCATTTATTTTTAGCAGCTTTGTTTAGCTATAATTGTTCTACTAAAAAACCTTCTCACTTAATGTACACAATCAGATGAATTTGGACACATGCAATAACCCCTTGGAAGACATTCACGTGCATGCGTTGTTGGTTTTTCCGCTTCTTACGGGAACTCCTTTCAGGCATTTCCATCTCCACGCTACACATGGGGAAATAGAGGCTCACAGAGGAGAAAGGACGTGGTTCAGGTCACACCTGTCCCTGGTCCTCCAGGCTGAGGAGCAGAGAGACCACCCACCTTAGTGCTGGAAGGGTTTAACACATAGCTTGGGCTCCCTCTTGTGGCCACAGTGGAGAAACTCCCTGCTTAGTTCATTTTTATTTTTTCCATCTGGCATTCATTTTTTTCATTCAGTAAGTATTTGTTGGTCCTGTCCTGTGTGCCAGACACTGTTTGAGGCTCTAGAGGTCCACCAATATAGAAAACAAACACCCTTTCCATGGAAGAGCTTATATTCTTGCAGAAGGAGAGGGGCAGTAACCCACAGGCATTATACAGTCACAGTCAGCTAGAAGGTGAGAGTGATTTGGATAAATGAGAAAGTGCAGCGGTGGTCCAGGGGGTCTGGAGGGTGCAAAGCTCAGCAGGGGGAATAGTGTGGCAGTTGCAGACAGAGGGGTAGGAAGAGGGAAGTGGCAGGAAGAGAATGCAGAGGGGTGAGGGTTGGGGCCACAGGTCCTGTGTAGAGCCCTGTTGGTCACCATGATCACCCTGAGTGAGCTGGGAAGTAACACAAATGACTCCAAATAGAAGCGCCTTCATGGAGCCTTCTTCTTCCCAGACTTCAACTAGAAACCTGAGCTGCCTGTCACAGCAGGGGACGTGTCATCCCATTAGACTTCAAACGTCCTCAGCAATTCCCTGCCCCCTTCTTTCTAGGAGTCAGGATTCCTCAGCCTTGCTCTAGAACTGCATCTGGTGACCCCTAGAAACCTGTCCTGGAAGCCTTACAAGGCTCTTCACACTCACAGTTTGTGATATGACCCCAGAGTTGTGCAGTGCACAACCTACACAGCTGGACACGATGGGCCTGGCACTCTTCCTCTGTGCTCCCACTGCACTCTGTGCTGACTATGTCATTCCACTGGGTGGTGCCATGTCAACTTCTCTCCTCTCCTCTCAATATCCTGTAAGGATAAGATAGGATCAAAGTTCTACCCACGTCCCTGGTACTCAGAAGAGGAGCTGAAACATTGGCGACCACTCATTAGCACTCTACTTAACAAAACAAATTGCCCAGGTAGTTATGATTAGATTTCTATAAAAGGCTGAATAATTACAGAAAGGCTCTAGAAACTAGTGTATAATTATGTACAGGCGCTGGCAGTGTGTAGAGTCATGGAAATCAGCTAAGGAATCGCGGTGCAGTCTCAGGAACCAGCTGGATAATTGCACCAGGAGCTCCCAAAACCAGCTGGATAATTATAGTGGAGTCCCTGGAACTCAGCGGGTAATTACCATGTACTCATGGAATCAGCAGTAATAATAGAAGGGTCCCAAATGCAGACACTAGGGAAAGTCTGGAGACACTTTTGATTGTCACAACCCAGAGGAGAGGGGGATGCTTCTGGGTGGTGGGGGGTGGAGGCGGGGGATGCACAGGACAGCTCCTCCCCCAAGGAATAACCTAGCCCCGAAAGTCAACAGTGTTACCCAGAAAAAAACAGGGTTCCTTTGCCTGGTGAGGAGCAAACAACTCTCCCGAGAATGCAGGTGATGTGGTTTGGCTCTGTGTCCCCACCCAAATCTCACCTGGTATTGTAATGATCCCCACGTGTCGATGGGGGGCAGTGACTCACGCCTGTAATCCAAGCACTTTGGGAGGTTGAGGCAGGCAGATCATGAGGTCAGAAGATCGAGACCATCCTGGATAACACAGTGAAACCCGTCTCTACTAAAAATACAAAAAATTAGCCGAGCGTGGTGGCGGGCAGCTGTAGTCCCAGCTACTCGGGAGGCTGAGGCAGGAGAATTACTTGAACCTGGGAGGTGGAGGTTGCAGTGAGCTGAGATCACGCCGTTGCACTCCAGCCTGGGTGACAGAGCGAGACTCCGTCTCAAAATAATAATAATAATAATCCCCACGTGTCATGGGAGGGACCTGTGGGAGGCGACTGAATCACGGGAGCAGGTTTTTCCCATTCTGTTCTCGTGATAGTGAATAAGTCTCACGAGATCTGATGGTTTTATAAATGGGAGCGCCCCTGCACGCTCTTTCTTGCCTGCTGCCATGTAAGACGTGACTTTGCTCCTCCTTCATCTTCCGCCATGATTGTTAGCCCTCCCCAGCCAAGTGGAACTATGAGCCCATTAAACTTCTTTCCTTTGTAAATGAACCAGTCTCGGGTATGTCTTTATTAGCAGCATGAGAACAAACTAATACAGAGGTTTTGATCAAGAAGAGTTTTATGACTTGACACAGCTAAGGAAGGCACTGGGTGTATTCTTCAAAGCAGTGTCTCCCTGAGGAAAAGGGACAGGAGGGCTCTATGGGGTGAGGGAGCAGGGAGAGGGCGCGTCGTTGTATGTGGAGGAGGGTCCCAGTCACGCAGATGCAGCGAGTCGTCATACCAGCACACGGGTCGCATGTTACGGTAACGAGACTACAGCTCCTCCCGGGATGGAGACTTGAGCGCAGCAGTGCAGAAAGTTCACTCGGGTTCATCTCTAAGTTGCCAGGGCCCGTCAGAGGCTGGTTCCAACCAACGAGTGGCCGCATTCCACACAGGGTTTGGAGAAAAACAGGCTGCAGGGCAGAAGGCTGTGAAACAGGCTGATTGCTCAAGTTGATTAAATTCCTATAATCCCTGGAGACCCTCCCTGTCTCCATACAGTAGTGCTTGGGTTGAGAAATTTTCTTTAAAAGACTATTTTTAGCCGGGCGCAGTGGCTCACGCCTGTAATCCCAGCACTTTGGGAGGCCGAGGCGGATGGATCACGAGGTCAGGAGATCGAGACCATCCTGGCTAACACGGGGAGACCCCGTCTCTACTAAAAACACACAGAAAAATTAGCCGGGCGTGGTGGCGGGCGCCTGCAGTCCCAGCTACTGGGGAGGCTGAGGCAGGAGAATGGTGTGAACCCGGGAGGTGGAGCTTGCAGTGAGCTGAGATCGCGCCACTGCACCCCAGCCTGGGCGACAGAGCGAGACTCCGTCTCAAAAAAAATAAAATAAAATAAGAATAAGAAGAAGAAAGAAGAAAGAAGAAGAAGAGGAAGAGGAAGAAGAGGAAGAGGAGGAAGAGGAAGAAAAATGTTTTAAAAAGACTATTTTTAGAGCAGGTTCAGGTTCATAGTAAAATGAGGGGAAGGTAGAGATTTTCCATGTACTCCCTACGCCGACACCTACATAGCTTCCCCCATTACCAGCGTTCCCTACCAGAGCGGTATTTTTATTACAACTGATGAGCCTGCATTGACACATTGTAATCACCCAAAGTCATATTAGGGCTCGCTCAGTCTTCCTGTTGCACATCCTATGAGTTCAGGCAAATGTCTAATGGCAGGCACCCACCGTCACAGTGTTAGACAGAGGAGAGCCATTGCCCTAAAATTCCTCTGTGCACCACCTATTCATCCTTCCTTCGCCCAACCCCTGGCAGCTCTGATCTTTTCCTGTCTCCATACTTTGCCTTTTCCAGAATGTCATATTGTTGGAATCAGACAATGCGTAGCCTTTTCAGATGGGATTCTACCACTTGGTAATATGCATTTAAGGTTCCTCTGTGTCTTTTCATGGCTTGAGAGCTCATTTCTATCTATCTATCTATTTATTTATTTATTTATTTATTTACTTATTTACTTATTTATTTATTTTTGAGATAGAGTCTCGCTCTGCTGCCCAGGCTGGAGTGCGGTGGCTGTGATCTCGGCTCACTGCAAGCTCCGTCTCCCAGGTTCAAGCGATTCTCCTGCCTCAGCCTCCCGAGCAGCTGGGATTATAGGCACCTGCCCCCACGCCCGGCTAATTTTTGTATTTTTAGTAGATGGGGTTTCACCATGTTGGTCAGGCTGGTCTCGAACTCCTGACTTTAGATGATCCACCCGCCTCGATCTCCCAAAGTGCTGGGATTATAGGCGTGAGCCACCATGCCTGGCATCATTTCTTTTTCTTTTCTTTTCTTTTCTTTTTTTTTTTTTTTTTGTTGTTGTTGTTGTTGTTGTTGAGGCAAAGTTTCACTCTTGTCGCCCAGGCTGGAGTGCAGTGGCACGATCTCAGCTCCCTGCAACTTCCGCCTCCCGGTTTCAAGTGATTTTCCTGCCTCAGCCTCCCAAGTAGCTGGGATTACAGGCGCCTGCCACCACGCCTGGTTAATTTTTGTATTTTTAGTAGAGATGGGTTTCCCCATGTTGGCCAGGCTGGTCTTGAACTCCTGACCCTGTGATCTGTGGGCCTTGGCCTCCCAAAGTGCTGGGATTACAGATGTGAGCCACCGTGACTGGCTAATTTTTGTGTTTTTAGTAGAGATGGGGTTTCGCCATGTTGGCTAGGCTGGTCTCGAACTCCTGACCTTGTGATCCGCCCGCTTCGGCCTCCCAAAGTGCTGGGATTACAGGCATGAGCCACTAGAGTCTCTTTGTGAAAAGGAATGGAAGGATGTGGTGTGATGCAGCACGCATCACCAGGTCCCTGTCATAAATTTGCTTTTGTGGCCGGGCGCGGTGGCTCACGCCTGTAATCCCAGCACTTTGGGAGGCTGAGGCAGGCGGATCCCCTGAGGTCAGGAGATCGAGACCAGCCTAGCCAACATGGCGAAACCCCATCTCTACTAAAAATACAAAAAATTAGCCGGGCGTGGTGGCAGGCACCTGTAGTCCCAGCCACTCGGGAGGCTGAGGCAGGAGAATAGTTTGAACCCGGGAGGCGGAACTTGCAGTGAGCCGAGATTGCTGCACTCCAGCCTGAGCGACAGAGCGAGACTCTGTCTCAAAACAAAACAAAAAAAGCTTACCCTCCATGATGCAGCAATCCCACTACTGGGTATATGCTCAAAGAAACTGAAACCAGTGTGTGGAAGAGATGTCTGCACCCCTATGTGTATTGCAGAGTTATTCACAATAGCCAACATATGGAATCACCTAAGTCTCCATCAGTGGACAATGGGTAAAGGAAATGTATATATACACAGTGGAAATACTATCCAGCCTTAGAAAGGAAGGAAACCCTGTCATTTACAGTATGGATGTAATTGTCAACCTTCAGGACATCATGCCACATGAAATAAGCCAGATACAGAAAGACAAATATCGCACAACCTCACTTATACATGGAATATTAAAAAGTTGAACTCAGGCCTTCGAGACTAGCCATGGCCAACATGGCAAAACCTACTCGGGAGGCTGGGCACGGTGGCTCACGCCTGTCAGCACTTTGGGAGACCAAGGCGGGCAGATCACCTGAGGTTGGGAGTTCGAGACCAGCCTGACCAATATGGAGAAACCCCGTCTCTACTAAAAATTCAAAATTAGCCAGGCGTGGTGGTGCATGCCTGTAATCCCAGCTACTCGGGAGGCTGAGGCAGGAGAATGGCTTGAACCTGGGAGGCGGAGGTTGCAGTGAGCCGAGATTGCGCCACTGCACTCCAGCCTGGGCGACAGAGTGAGACTCTGTCTCAAAAAAAAAAAAAAAAAAAAAGTTGAACTCACAGAAGCAGAGAGCGGAATGGTGGTGACCAGGGGCTTGGGAAGGGGAGTAGGGATTGGGAAGATCGTGGTCAGAGGGTACACAATTTTAGATAGAAAAAAATAAATTCAAGAGATCTGTTGTGCAACATGGTGACAAATTAGTGAAAATGTATTATGTACTTAAACATTGTTAGCAGAATAGATCGTAAGGGCTCTCGCCACACACGCAAAAATGACAACTATGTGGCCACGAACGGTGGCTCACACCTATAATCCAAGCACTTTGGGAGGCTGAGGCAAGTGGATCACTTGAGGTCAGCAGTTTGAGACCAGCCTGGGCAACATGGCCAAACCCCATCTCTACAAAAAATACAAAAATTAGCCAGACGTGGTGGCACACACCTGTAATCCCAGCTACTCGGGAGGCTGAGGCACAAGAATCACTTGACGTGGGAGGTGGAGTTTGCCGTGAGCTGAGATCGCACCACTGCACTCTAGGCTGAGTGACAGAATGAGACTCTGTCTCAGAAAAAAAAGTGAGGTGATGGATATGTTAAACATCTTGATTATGGTAATTATTTCACAATGTGTACATATGTCAAAACATCATGTTGTACACCTTAAATATATACACTTCTCTTTTTGAGACGGAGTCTCGCTCTGTCGCCCAGGCTGGAGTGCAGTGGCGCAATCTCGGCTCACTGCAATCTCCGCCTCCCGGCTTCACACCATTCTCCTGCCTCAGCCTCCCGAGTAGCTGGGACTACAGGCGCCCGGCTAATTTTTGTATTTTTTTTTTTAGTAGAGACGGGGTTTCACCGTGTTAGCCAGGATGGTCTCGATCTCCTGACCTTGTGATCCACCCGCCTCGGCCTCCCAAAATGCTGGGATTACAGGCATGAGCCACCGCGCCTGACCAAATATATACGCTTTTATTTGTCAATCATATCTCAATTAAGCCAGGAAAAAATTGGTAAGGCTACTTTTGGAAACACTTTGACACTATTTCAAAAAATTGAAACTAACAATCCCTATAGCGCAATCATTCCATTCTTATATGTATACTCTTTAAAAATTCTTGCACATATGCACCAAGAAACATGTAAAAAATGTCTGTTACGTAATAGGGAAAGTAAAATAAATAGAAATAGAAAAGTAACTAAAATAAAAGAAGCCCATGTGTTCATCAACAGGTACAAAAATACAAAAACTGTGATATAGACCTATATTGGAAAGCTTCAAACTATGGCATTGAAAATGATTTCACGAATCATTTCAAAAAAAAATTCATGGTTTCTGTTGTCATTTTTACCAAGTTCATTCCAATATGTGGTTTAGAGACACTATTTTAAACAAATAAGGGGCCAGGTGCAGTGGCTCACGCCTATAATCCCAGCACTTTGGGAGGCTGAGGCGGGCAGATCACCTGAGGTCAGGAGTTTGAGACCAGCCTGGACAACATGGTGAAACCCCGTCTCTACTGAAAATACAAGAATTAGCCAGGCATGGTGGTGCGCGCCTGTAATCCCAGCTCTTCGGGAGGCTGAGGCAGGAGAATTACTTGAACCTGGGAGGCAGAGTTTGCAGTGAGCCGAGATCATTCCACCGCACTCCAGCCTGGGCAACAGTGTGAGACTCTGTCTCAGAACTTAAAGTAGAATAAAATAAAATAATAAAATAAAACAAATAAGGGAACGACAAGCACAGTTACTTCTGCAGAGGAGGAAAGTGGAGGATGAGAATGGAAGGAGATTCCAGGTAGATGAGGTGGTCGGGATGAGATTGTAGCTCTTAATTGGATGGTGGGCTAAGTGAGGCCGTTTCGTTAATGTTTCATGATTCAAGCTGTTTTATAAATTCTCTTTTATTTATGAAAAATACATAATACATGTTTGGTAAAGTGATCAAACTTTCTTGATCAAGATATCAAAAGAAAGACCCAAGATTTTATTTTCTATTTCTTTCTTTTTCTTTTTTTGAGACGGAGTCTCACCCTGTCACCCAGGCTGGAGTGCAGTGGCTCGATCTCAGCTCACTGTAAGCTCCACCTCCCGGGTTCACGCCATTCTCCTGCCTCAGCCTCCTGAGTAGCTGGGACTACAGGCACCCGCCACCACGCCTGGCTAATTTTTTGTATTTTTAGTAGAGATGGGGTTTCATTGTGGTGTCAATCTCCTAACCTCCTGATCCACCCGCCTCGGCCTCCCAAAGTGCTGAGATTACAGGCGTGAGCCACTGCACCCGGCCTCTCTTTATTTCTATATGTATCAGTTAGCTATTGCTGTGTAACAAATCACCTCAAAGGGAGCAGCTTCAGACAACACACGTTTATTGTCTTGCGATTTCCGTGAATCAGGGATCTGAGCACAGCCCGGCTGGGTCTTCAGCTTCAGGGTCTCTCCCGGGCTGCAATCAAGGGGCCAGCAGCTTTGTGGCCATCTCAAGGTTCTGTTGATTTCATGGTGTTGCTGGCAGTTCAGTTCTTTGCTGACTCTTGGCCAGAAGCCACCCCTCAGTTCCTTGCCATGAAAGTTTTCTGCAACAGGATAGCTTTGTTTCATCAAAGTATGCAAACTAAGCAGGCAAAAAGAGTCTGCTAACAGAATGCAAGTCACACAATCATCCTTAAAAGGACGGGATTACATGATGCTATAAATACCAGGAGGTGAGGATTATTGGGGACCATCTGGGAGGCTGCCTACCACACCGCACAAGGCAAACCTTATGAATATGTATGGATTATATAGGTTGCTTTCAGGCTTCCACCAAAAATAGGATTGCCTTACAGCTCTACCAGCCTAGGACCCACCCCAGCAGGTGTGGCTTGCTTGTTTTAAGGGAGCAGAGACAGAGGGTTCCTTATATCCCACAGCCAAGCCCTTACAGGCACAGCAGGGCAGCTGCTTAAGGTGGAGAGGGAGTCTAACCGGTTTTCTTACCATGCTTAGGGCAGAAAACATAATCTCTATTTTGCCATGTAAGACTCACCACTGAGCAGTCCCTCTCTTTCCTCTGTATTACACTGACACTTCACATAAACCTCTAAACCTCATATAACCTCTAAGCAGAGATAGGCTTCATAAAGGAATTTAGCCAGAATGCCACATTATTTTTCCTTGTTGCAGAGAGTAGCATCTATCTTATGGGAAGAGTCATAGAAAGGCCCTGCAGAATTTGCTGTAAGAAAATAGTCAGGCCGGGCCAGGCGCCGTGGCTCACGCCTGTAATCCCAGCACTTTGGGAGGCCGAGGCAGGTGGATCACGAGGTCAGGAGATCGAGACCATCCTGGCCAACATGGTGAAACCCCATCTCTACTAAAAACACAAAAAATTAGCCGGGTGTGTTGGCGGTTGCCTGTAGTCTCAGCTACTCAGGAGGCTGAGGCAGGAGAATGGCGTGAACTCGGGAGGTGGAGCTTGCAGTGAGCGGAGATCACACCACTGCGCTCCAGCCTGGGCCACAGAGCGAGACTCCATCTCAAAAAAACAACAAAAAAAAAAAAGAAAAGAAAATGGTCAGGCCGGGCGTGGTGGCTCATGCCTATAATCCCAGCACTTTAGGAGGCTGAGGCAGGTGGATCATGACGTCAGGAGTTCGAGACCAGCCTGGCCAACATGGTGAAACCCCGTCTCTACTAAAAATACAAAAAAAAATTAGCCAGGCGTGGGGTCAGGCGCCTGTAATCCCAGCTACTTGGGAGGCTCAGGCAGGAGAATAGCTAAAACCTGAGAGGTGGAGATTGCAGTGAGCCGAGACCGCACCACTGTACTCCAGCCTGAACAACAGAGGGAGACCCCATTTCAAAAAAAAAAAAAAAAAAAGGCCGGGTGCGGTGGCTCACGCCTGTAATCCTAGCACTTTGGGAGGCCAAGGCGGGCGGATCACCTGAGGTCGGGAGTTCGAGACCAGCCTGACCAACACGGAGAAACCCCGTCTCTACTAAAAAATACAAAATTAGCTAGGCGTGGTGGCGCATGCCTGTAATCCCAGCTACTCGGGAGGCTGAGGCAGGAGAATCGCTTGAACCCGGGAGGCAGAGGCTGCAGTGAGCTGAGGTCGAGCCACTGCATTCCAGCCTGGGCGACAGAGCAAAACTCCATCTCAAAAAAAAAAAAAAAAAAAAAAGGCTGGGCGCGGTGACTCACGTCTGTAATCCTAGCACTTTCGGAGGCCGAGGTTGGTGGATCATGAGGTCAGGAGATCAAGACCATCCTGGCCAACATGATGCAAACCCATCTCTACTAAAAATACAAAAATTAACTGGGTGTGGTGGCGCATGCCTGTAATCCCAGCTACTTGGGAGGCTGAGGCAGGAGAATCACTTGAACCAGGGAGTCAGAGGTTGCAGTGACGGGAGATCTCACCACTGCACTCCAGCCTGGGCAACACAGCCAGACTCCATCTCTTTAAAAAAAAAAAAGGCCCACATTGGGCCGTGTGATGGGGGATCCCACTCTCCACCTCAAAGGATAGAATGGATTCCACCTTTCCCTCCACAGAGGAAGGCAGAACCAGACTTCCCACTAAGACTCAGACTGACAGGGACCTCTTTCCAAGTAGCAAAAAGGTTCATACACGGAAAGCGGAAAATGACAAATTATGACTTGCCACGGTGCATAGCAGCCAAGGTGGTTCCCAAAATAAAACCTCTTCCCACACACTTTGTGCCAGGTGCCCCACGTCTTTTTTTTTTTTTTTTTTTTTTTTTTTGTAATTAAAGGAGATCGACAAATCTGGGGTGAGAAGGTTGGTAGAGGATGAGTTTTTCCTTCAACATCTTATTATAAAAATTTTTCAAGCATAGAGAAGAGTTGAAAGAATCTTAGAATGAATACCCCATCCACACCACCCAGACACCCAGACTCAACCATTCACAACTTTTTTTCTTTTTCGAGACAGAGTCCTGCTCTGTCGCCCAGGCTAGAGTGCAGTGGCATGATCTTGACTCACTGCAACCTCTGCCTCCCAGGTTCAAGCGATTCTCCTGCCTCAGCCTCCCACATAGCTGGGATTGCAGGTGTCTGCCACCATGCCCAGCTAAATTTTTTTTTTTATTTTTAGTAGAAACGGGGTTTCATGATGTTGGCCAGGCTAGTTTCAAACTCCTGACCTCAAGTGATCTGCCCGCCTCGGCCTCCCAAAGTGCTGGGATTCCAGGCATGAGCCAACATGCCCAGCTAATTTTTGTATTTTTAGTAGAAACAGGGTTTCATTATGTTGACCAGGCTGGTCTTGAACTCTTGACCTATTGATCTGCCCGCCTCAGCCTCCCAAAGTGCTGGGATTTTCAGGTGTGAGCCACCACACCCGGCTGTTGCACACATCTTAAGTACACCATTAACTGTGTGGGTTTTTTTGTTTGTTTTATTTATTTATTATTTATTTATTTATTGAGCCAGAGTCTCGCTCTGTCACCAGGCTGGAGTGCAGTGGCACGATCTTGGCTCAAGCGATTCTCGGGTTCAAGCAATTCTCCTGCCTCAGTCTCCCAAGCAGTTGGGACTACAGGTGCCTGTCACCACGCCTGGCTAATTTTTGTATTTTTAGTAGAGACAGGGTTCCACCATGTTGGCCAAAATTGTCTCGATCTCTTGACCTCATGATCCTCCTGCCTCGGCCTCCCAAAGTACTGGGATTACAGGCGTGAGCCACCGTTCCCGGCCTAAGCGTGTTTTAAAATTATATACTGAAGCCCCTATGGAGACATAGAATATGGCCATTGTCACAGCAAGCTCCCAAATGCACCTGCCCAGTCACATCTTGCCTTTACTCCCCTGGAGGCTACCACTCTTCTGATATTATTATTTTTTCACTATAGACTAATTTCAACTGTTCTGGGACTTCACGCAAGCAGAATCATAAACTCTCAGAAAACTGAACTCTCCTCTCTGGCTTCTTCCACTCAGCTCAAAGTTTCTGAGATTCACCCGTGCTGCTGTGTGTGTCCACAGTCCGTTCATTTTCACTGCGGGGCAGGATTGCATTGTACGGGGTTCCGTGGTTTATTTATCCTTTCTTCCACTGATGAACACCTGGCTGTTTCCAGTCTTGGGGGCTCTTGTGAACAAAGCTACTGTTAACATTTCTATTTATTTATTTATTTTTGAGACAAAGTCTTGCTCTCTCACCCAGGCTGGAGTGCAGTGGCGCGATCTTGGCTCACTGCAACCTCCGCCTCATGGTGCAAGCGATTCTCTGCCTCAGCCTCCCGAGTAGCTGGGATTACAGACATTTGCCACTGCACCTGGCTAATTTTTTTTTTTTTTTTTTTTGTATTTTAGTAGAGACGGGGTTTCACCATGTTGGCCAGGCTGGTCTCCAACTCCTGACCTCAGGTGATCCACCCATCTCAGCCTCCCAAAGTGCTGGGATTACAGGCGTGAGCCACCGCGCCCGGCCAACAAGTCTTTCAATCACACCTTTCATGTGCAAACCAAACAGTCCAGAGCCCAGCCCCCAGCCACCTCCATTTCTGAGCTCTCACACTCAGGGCTGCTGTGCACCTGCCTTCATCACCCAGGGCCAGGAACCAGACCACTAGAGTAGGCCCAATGCCCCAGGCCCTGCTGAAATTATTCAAATTAGCTAATCACAAACCTGTTTACCCTGCCCCACCCACTCATTCCTGCAAAAACCAAATCAAGCTCTTGCCCTCTCTCCGCCCTCACTCCCTCTGCCTCTGATCCCTCGTGCTCTCCCGTGTGACCTGCATGCTCCCTCGGCCCTGGTGCTCTCTGGGTGTCCTGCCTGGCCTGGCATGTCCCTTCCTCTTGAGAACTGTGACAAACTGTCTTCTCAGTGGTCCATCTCATCTGCTGGGCCCCCCATACCTATGTATGAAAACATCTTGAAGCCGGGCGCGGTGGCTTACGCCTGTAATCCCAGCACTTTGGGAGGCTGAGGCAGGTGGATCATGAGGTTAGTGTCACGCGAGTCCGTGTGAAGAGTCCACCAAACAGGCTTTGTGTGAGCAACAAGGCTGTTTATTTCACCTGGGTGCAGGCGGGCTGAGTCCGAAAACAGAGTCAGTAAAGGGTGGTGGGATTATCATTAGTTCTTACAGGTTTGGGGACAGGCGGTGGAGTTAGGAGCAATGTTTTGCGGGCAGGGGGTGGATCTCACAAAGTACATTCTCAAGGGTGGGGAAAATTACAAAGAACCTTCTTAAGGGTGGGAGAGATTACAAAGAACCTTCTTAAGGGTGGGGAAGATTACAAAGTACATTGATCAGTCAGGGTGGGGCAGGAACAAATCACAATGGTGGAATATCATCAGTTAAGGCTATTTTCCCTTCTTTTGTGGATCTTCGGTTGCTTCAGGCCATCTGGATGTATAGATGCAGGTCACAGGGGATAGGATGGCTTAGCTTGGGCTTAGAGGCCTGACAGTTCAAGAGCAGCCTGGCCAAGATGGTGAAACCCCATTTCTACTAAAAATACAAAGAATTAGCCAGGTGTGGTGGCATGCACCTATAGTCCCAGCTACTCAGGAGGCTGAGGCAGGAGAATTGCTTGAACCCGGGAGGCGGAGGTTGCAGTGAGCCGAGATCGGACCATTGCACTCCAGCCTGGGCGACAGAGCGAGACTCTGTCTCAAAAAAAAAAAAAAAGAAAGAAAGAAAGAAAAGAAAAGAAAAAAGAAATACATTGGGTTTGGAAGGCCGAGGAGGGCGGATCACAAGGTCAGGAGTTCAAAACCAGCCTGATCAACATGGTGAAACCCTGTCTATACTGAAAATACAAAAATTAGCCAGGCGTGGTAGCGCATGCCTGCAGTCCCAGCTACTCAGGAGGCTGAGGCAGGAGAATCGCTTGAACCCGGGAGGCGGAGGTTGCAGTAAGCCAAGATCATGCCATTGCACTCCAGCCTGGGCTACAGAGTGATACTCTGTCTCAAAAAAAAAAAAAGAAAGAAATACATTGGCGTGGTTCAGAAAGGTGGAACAACACAAAGGGTGGGGTGAGGCGTGCAATTTAAACATTTTCTGATTGACAATTGGTTGAGTTTTCTCTGAAGACCCGGAATCAATAGAAAGGAAATGTTCAGGTTAAGCTAAAGGATCGTGGAGACCAGGTTTTATTGTGCAGAGGAAGCTGACTTCAGAGAGAGAGGGCAGGGTGTAAAATGCTTCTTACAGGACCTAAAAGAGTGCCTGGGCCGGCCACGGTGGCTCACACCTGTAATCCCAGCAACTTTGGGAGGTCGAGGCAGGCGGATCACCTGAGGTCGGGAGTTCAAAGCCAGCCTGACCAACATGGAGAAACCCTGTCTCTACTAAAAAATACAAAATTAGCTGGGCGTGGTGGTGCATGCCTGTAATCTCAGCTAGTTGGGAGGCTGAGGCAGGAGAATTGCTTGAACCTGGGAGGTGGAGGTTGCGGTAAGCCGAGATTGTGCCGTTGCACTCCAGCCTGGGCAAAAAGAGTGAAACTCTGTCTCAAAAAAAAAAAAGAGTGCCTGGCTCTCCTGGGCCTGGAAAGGAAGAAGGGAAAACAAAGGAGAAACGGGGTTCTGTAAAGAATGTGGATTTTTCCCACAAGAGACTTTGCAGGGCAATTTCAAAATATGGCAGAGAAACATGTTTTGGGGTAAAATATTTTTATTTTCTTCCTTGTGTTGTAATGCTATGCCAGAGTCAGATTGGAAAGTAAGTCACACCATAGAGGATTAAATACAACCCATCTGATGAGAATTTATGGTTTGTAAGGCATGACTCCTCAAACGCCTTAGGTAGGAATTTGGGCAAGATAAAAAAATCAGAGCTTAGTTCTCAGGGGTCATGGCGGGACAACAGGAGAGAGCGTCTCACCCATATTTAAAAAAAAAAAAAGTGCAATGCAGGCTGGGCATGGTGCCTCACGCCTGTAATCCCAGCACTTTGGGAGGCCGAGGAGGGTGGATCACCTCAGGTCAGGAGTTCAAGATCAGCGTGGCCAACTTGACAAAACCCCTTCTCTACTAAAAATACAAAAATTACCTGGGTGTGATGGCATGCACCTGTAGTCCCAGCTACTCGGGAGGCCGAGGCAGGAGAATTGCTTGAACCCAGGAGGCGGAGGTTGCAGTGAGCTGAGATGGTGCCACTGCACTCCAGCCAGGGTGACAAGAGTGAAAACTCTGCCTCAAAAAAAAAAAAAAGAATATTACAGTGAAAACCTAGATAGTTATCACCTGGATTCTAGTCTACTGTTAATCTTTTCTCCTTCCTTCCTTCCTTCCTTCCTTCCTTCCTTCCTTCTCTCTCTCTTTTTCCTTCCCTTTCTTTCTTTCCTTCCTTTCTCTCTGTTTCTTTCCTTTCTCTCCCTTCTCTTTTTCTCTTTCTTTCTTTCTTTTCTCTCCCTCTTTCTTTCTTTCCTTTCCTTTCCCTTCCCTTCCCTTCCCTTCCACTCACTCACTCCCTCCCTCTCTCTCTTTTCTTTCTTTCTTTCTTTCTTTCTTTCTCTCTCTTTCTCCCTTCCTTCCTTCCTTCCTTCCTTTCTTTCTTTCTTTCTTTCTTTCTTTCTTTCTTTCTTTCTTTCTTTCTTTCAGACAGGGTCTCGCTATGTTGTCCCGGCTACAGTGTAGTGGTTATTCACAGGTGCAATCATACCCACAGAGCAGCCTTGAACTTCTAGGCTCCAGTGATCCTCCTGCACCAGCCTCCTGAGTTGCTGGGAGCACAGACTCATGCCACTGTACCTTGCTTAATATTTATCTTCCTTTGCCTTATTACTTATCCCTCCATCCATCCGTCTTATTTTCTTTTGTGATTAACTTCAAAAAGAGACTGCAGACACCACTACACTTTCTCCCAATACTAAGCATGCACCTCATTAACATTTTTCAGTAAAATTTTTATAGAGTGGAGTGCACAAATCTTTTTTTTTTTTTTTTGAGATGGAGTTTCACTCTTTCTCCCAGGCTAGAGTGCAGTGGTGTGATAGCTCACTACAACTTCCACCTCCTGGGTTCAAGCGATTTTCCTGCCTCAGCCTCCCGAGTAGCTGGGATTACAGGCATGCACCACCACAGCTGGCTAATTTTTGTATGTTTAGTAGAGACGGGGTTTCGTCATGTTGGCCAGGCTGGTCTGGAACTCCTGACCTCAGGCGATCCACCTGCCTCGGCCTCCCAAAGTGCTGGGATTACAGGTGTGAGCCGCCGCACCTGGCCAGAAATTCACAAATCTTAAGTGAGCGACAAATGCAGACACTGGTACAAAACGAACCCTCATCAAGATACAGAACGAGGCCCTTTATCCCAGGAAGTTCCCCCAGCCCCCTTCCCAGTCACCCTGACCCTACTCACCCAGAGGCAACCACTGTTTTTATTATTTTTGCTACCATATGTTAATTCTGTCTGTTTGGAAAATCATCTAACTGAACTCATACAGTGCATCCTCCTTTGTTTCTGACACTCAGCACAATAATTTTGAGACCGACCCATATTGCTGCATGCATTATTAGCTTGTGCCTTTTCATTGCTAAGTAGTATTCCATTCTGTGGCTATATTACCTATCTTGGTCCATTCCCCTGTTGATAGGCATACAGGATGTTTCTAGCCTGAGGCTATTATGAATAAAGCTGCTGTAAACAGTCTTGCAAAATTCTTGGTGTGGATAAATATTTTCTTTTCTTTTGGGTAAAAGTAGAATTGTTGGCCGGGCGTGGTGGCTCACGCCTGTAATCCCAGCAGTTTGGGAGGCCGAGGTGGGCAGATCACGTGAGGTCAGGAGTTTGAGACCAGCCTGGCCAACATGGTGAAACCCCATCTCTACTAAAAATACAAAAATTAGCCAGGCATGGTGGTGTACACCTGTAGTCCCAGCTACTCGGGAGGCTGAGGCAGAATAATCACTTAAACCTGGGAGGCAGAGGTTGCAGTGAGCTGAGATCATGCCATTGCACTCCAGCTTGGTGACACAGTGAGACTCCGTCTAAAAAACAAACAAACAAAAAAGAGTAGAATTGTTGGGTCATGGGATAGGTGTGGGCTTAGATTTGTAAGAAGCTGCCAGGCCTTTTCCTACAGGGTTTGTACCCTTTACTCTCTCATCAATAATGGATAACACTCGGGTGCTTCATTCCTGGAATCTTTGGATCTCAGGCCTGCTTTGGGCTGTTGGTATTTCACTGTGGTTGAATGCAGCTCTATTAGTCAGATTTGTCCAAAGAAAGAAAACCAAAGAGATATATAAAGAGATACCAGCAGAGGTTTATTATGAGAACTTTTCTTACACAATTCTGGAGGCTGAGGAGTCCCACGACGTGCTGTCCATAAGCTGAAGAAGCAGGAAAGCTGGTGGTGTCATTCAGTCTGAGGCTAAAGGCATGAGGACCAGGAAGTTTGATGTCCTAGGGCAAGAGAAAATGGATGCGCCAGTTAAGAAAACACAGTGAATTCGCCCTTCCTCTGCTTTTTGTTCTATTCGAGCCTCCAGCAGATTGGATGAGGCCCGCCCACATTGGTGAGGGAGAACTTCTTTACTCAGTCTACTGATTCAAATGCTCACCTCTTCCAGAAACACCCCCACAGACACATCCAGAAATAATGTCTTACCAGCTATCTGGGCATCCCTTAGGCCAGTCAAGTTGACGCATAAAGTTAACCATGACATCAGCTTATTTAATAAACTGGCTATATCTGCATATTTGCTCATTTGCCTAATGAGTTATCTCTATCATGCTCTGTGAAAGCAGAGATTTTCATCCCTTTAGTTCACTGCTGAATTCCCAGGGCCTAGAACAATGCCTGGCACCTAGTAGCTGTCCAATAAATAAATACTTGGGGAATGAACAAACCAATGAATGTATGGATTCTTCTTTATTATTAATAGATCCCAGGGCTTACTTAACACAGCCTGGCAGCTATTAAACATGTAATCGAAAGAAAGGAGGGGAAAAGGAAGGAAGAAGGAAGGTAGCAATGAAGGAAGAAGGAAGGAGGGAAGAAAGGAAGGGAGAGAGAGAGGAAGGAAAGAAGGAAGAAAGGGAGGGAGGAAGGAGGGGAGGGAGGGAGGAAAGGAAGGAAGGAAGGTAAAAAGGAAGAGAGGGAGGAAGGAGGAAGGAAGGAGAAAGGAAGAGAGGGAGGCAGGGAGGGAGGGAGGGAGGAAGGAAGGGGGGAGGGAGGGAGGGAGGGAGGAAGGAAGGAAGGCCAGAAGGCAGGAAGGGG
This sequence comes from Homo sapiens, assembly GCF_000001405.40. Taxonomy (NCBI): domain Eukaryota; kingdom Metazoa; phylum Chordata; class Mammalia; order Primates; family Hominidae; genus Homo; species Homo sapiens. The sequence goes on from NW_003571055.2 coordinate 389,776, forward strand.
TAGGGAGGGAGGGAGGGAAAGAGGAAAGAAGGAAGGAGGGAAGGAAGGAAGGGAGGCGGGGAGGGAGGGAAAGATCATAAGGATGACTGAACATCTGAAGGCTGAACAGCTTTACGTATTTATGCCTTTTCCGGTCATTTTCTTATGTACTTGTGAATTCCTTCACTTTGCTTTCCTTCTATTTGGCAGATGTCACTGTAGTCATTTTTAAAAATCAACAACTGTCACCCTCGTAATAATTCGCGAGCGCTTGTCAAGCACTTTGTCAGCAAACACTTCCCGCGTGTTCACTCGATCTGCACAACAATCCTGTGGAATTGGTTAAGGTTGCTCTTTCTTGCTTTTTTTTTTTTTTTTAAACAGAGTTTCACTCTTGTTGCCCAGGCTGGAGTGAAGTGGTGCGATCCTGGCTCACTGCAACCTCTGCCTCCCGAATTCAAGCGATTCTCCTGCCTCAGCCTCCTGAGTCGCTGGGATCACAGGCACGTGCCACCATGCTCGGCTAATTTTCGTTATTTTTAGTAGAGACTGGGTTTCGTCATGTTGGCCAGGCTGGTCTCGAACTCCTGATCTCAGCTGATCCCCCCCGCCTTGGTCTCTCAAAGTGCTGGGATTACAGGCATGAGCCACTGAGCCTGGCCAAGGTTATTATTTTCATCCTGTTTATGTGAACCGAAAGCACAGAGTTGAGAAAATTGTCTAAGGTCACCGAGCTAATAAGGAGCTGAGCCAGGGTTGAAACCAGATAATGTGGCTGCAAAGCATGAACTCTTAGTCATGCCAATCATGAACTAAAGAGCGTCCTTCATTTGTGTCTCTGTTCAGATATCATCCAAATGGAGAGAGAGACATTCCCTGAGCACCTTCTATTATATAAGTAGCAACCACCAGACGTGGTGGCTCACGCCTGTAATCCCAGCACTTTGGGAGGCCGAGGCAGGTGGATCATGAGGTCAGGAGTTCAAGACAAGCCTGGCCAAGATGGTGAAACCCCGTCTCTACTAAAAATACAAAAAATTAGCTGAGTGTGATGGCAGGCACCTGTAATCCCAGCTACTTGGGAGGCTGAGGCAGATAATTGCTTGAACCGGGGAGGTGGAGGTTGCAGTGAACCAAGATCACGCCACTGCACTCCAGCCTGGGCAACAGAGCAAGACTCTGTCTCAAAAAAAAAAAAGTAGTGACCACCTCATCCCCACCACATCCACTCACATCTATGTGTTGCTTCCTCTTACCTGATAGTATAGACTCAGCTCACCTGTTCATTCCTCAATTTTCTACCTTCTGTACTCCAGCGGTTTTAGTTGTGCCAACTGGAGACTTTGTCTTTTTTGCTTATGCCCATTTCTCCAGAACATGCAGCAGTGCCTGGGACATAGTAGGCACTCAATACGTGTGTGGGGAACAGATACATCATTGAAGCACAGCTGTTAGCACAGCACACATGGTCCTGATTTATTGAGAACCTACTATGTGCTAGGCACAGGACCAAGCAGTTGGAAATCTCTCCTGGCATTCTTACAGCCACTCAGTTAAGCAGGCAAGTCTCCCAAAGCTTAAGCCGTGGGAAGCACATGCTGAGTCCTTCAGCCAGGAGCTGTCCTTGCCTTCTGTCAGCAGAAGCTGGTCAGGAGGCCTTCCTGGAGGAGGCAGCATCACTGCCTCCCCCAATCTTCCCTCCCATCCCTGTGGCTGCTCCTTCTCAGTCTCATTGTGGGCCCCTCTTTCTCCACTTGTCCCTTTCATGCCTGTACTACTCCATGTCTGGCTAGACCAGAGCTTATAAACCAGCCAGCTCCAACCCACAGACAGGTTTTATTTGGCCCACACAGCATTTTTTTTTCATTTGAATTAGTTTTAACATTTAAAAGCTGAGGGATTTTGCTTTTAAAAATATCCAGATTTCTGCCTTCTCTTGGAAATTTGGAACATCTGGTGGTGCCAGGTCCCTCTTCCCATATGGCAAGCGTTGGCTGAAACGAAATAGCAACAGCCATGTTCTCTGAGCTACCCTCTACCAGGGGGTTTGCATGCGTCCCAAGCCATGAATGAACACCTGCAGAGCTTGAGATGGTTTAGGGGTGGTATTCAGCCAAGGGCTCTAGAAATACCCAAGGGCCACCTGGAATGACCGTTTGTTTTCCTCAGCAGAAACAGACCCAGGGAACCACGGCCGGAGAAGGTAGAGATAATACATTTCTGTCAGGCAGCATTGCAGATGTCCCATGCAGGAGGATGGATGTCCTGGGTTTAATCGATGCAGGCTAAGCCATTCTCTAAAGAGGCTTGCCTTCTGGGGCCCAAAACACATGTGAGGGAGACAGAGAGGTGGGGACAGAAAGAGCCAGAGTAAAGCAGAGAGAGAGAGAGAAAGAGATAAAGAGAGAGAGAGAGAGACAGAGAGAGAGACAAAGAGAGACAGAGAGAGAGAGAGAAACAGAGAGAGAGAGACAAAGAGAGAGAGAGACAAAGACAGAGAGAGACAGAGAGAGACAAAGAGAGAGACAGAGAGAGAAAGAGAGACAGAGAGAGACAGAGAGAGAGACAGAGACAAAGAGATAGAGAGAGAAAGAGAGAGAGACAGAGAGAGAGAGACAAAGACAGAGACAGAGAAACAAAGAGAGAGAGAGAGACAGAGAGAGACAGAGAGAGACAGAGAGAGAGAGAGACAGAGAGAGTGAGAGAGAGAGAGAGAGAGTCCATCAATTTAAAGTCTTTTTCTAGGGGAATGAAGGGGAATGGCATATGTGGTGACTATGGGGTGTGTGTGTGTGTGTGTGTGTGTGTGTGTGTGTGTGTGTGTGTATTTCATGTAAGAAAGCAGCATGCTGAGGACACAGCAGCAAGAACAAAGCAATGAGCTCCCCCTGGAAGCCAATATAACTTACTTCTACTTAGTAACATTTACCCCTTTTCTTTTTTAAGACAGAGTCTCACTCTGTCGCCCAGGCTGGAGTACAGTGGCACAATCTCAGCTCACCGCAACCTCTGCCTCCCAGGTTCAAGCTATTCTCATGCCTTGGCCTCCTGAGTACCTGGGATTACAGGCACACATTGCCATGTCCAGATAATTTTTTTGTATTTTTAGTAGAGACAGGGTATTTTTTTTTTTTTTTGAGACAGAGTCTTGCTCTGTCACCCAGGCCGGAGTGCAATGACACAATCTCGGCTCACTGCAACCTCTGCCTCCCAGGTTCAAGCAATTCTCCTGTCTCAGCCTCCCGAGTAGCTGTGACTATGGGAGTGTGCCATCACATCCAGCTAATTTTTGTATTTTTACTAGAGATGGGGCTTCACCATGTTGGCCAGGCTGGTCTCGAACTCCTGACCTCGTGATCCGCCCGCCTTGGCCTCCCAAAGTGCTGGGATTACAGGCATGAGCCACCATGCCTGGCCTGTTTGTTTATTTTTTTGAGTTGGAGTCGTGCTCTGTTGTCCAGGCTGGAGAGCAGTGGCACAATCTCAGTTCACTGCAACCTCCGCCTCCTGGATTCAAGCAATTCTCTTGCCTCAGCCTCCCAAGTAGCTGGGATTACAGGCACACACCACCATGCCAGGCTAATTTTTTTGTATTTTTAGTAGAGACAAGGTTTCGCCATGTTGGCCAGACTGGTCTCGAATTCCTGACCTCAGGTGATCCACTGGCCTCGGCCTCCCAAAGTGCTGGAATTACAGGCGTGAGCCACTGGGCCTGGCCGAGACAGGGTTTTACCATGTTGGCCAAGCTGGTCTCGAACTCCTGACCTCAAGTGATCTGCCCACCTCCACCTCCCCAAGTGCTGGGATTACAGGCTCGAGCCACTGCGCCTGGCCCCCAGTTACCCCTTTTCTAACACCAACCCAGATTGTTCTCTGCAATTCAGGATTCATGTTTCTCAGGTGGCAATCCAAGATCCATTAGCCAGCCACAAAACAATTTAGAAGGTTGTGACCAGATTTGAATTACAAAATAGAAGTAACAGAGGATAGAAATTATCCAAGAGCATTGCACATAGTGGTCAGAAACTTTTTACTTTTTTTTTTTTTTTTTTTTTTGTGTGTGTGTGTGTATACTAGATCATAATGTAAAATGTATTTCTCACTGTGGGTTGTGGCCCTATCAGTTGGAAACCACTCATCTAGAATATTATCCATATGGAGAGGGCTGATGCAGGGCCAAATGATGGAGGGTATAAACTCAGGGCTGAGGGTGTGACTTGATTCTATGGGCAACGTGGAGCCACTGAGCTCTATTGGGTTGCACAGTCACCACCAGCACCTCACTGTCCTGCACTCTGATGTACACATGCCCAACTGTGCACATCATGACGTTTGGAATTC